>NC_000003.12:169160119-169311634 GCF_000001405.40 Homo sapiens
TTTCTGGTCACTCAGGCAGCAATTTGCTTCTGAGAAACAGAGATGGAAACATATAGAGCCAGAGAAGAATAACCAAAATAAGTGATAGGAATACAAATTCATAATGGTGTCTAAACACTAAGCCAGGAATTGCAATCCGAATGGGGAAAAACATTTTCTGAGAAAGGATTTTTTTGGAGACAGATAAAAAAAAAATGAAGAAAAATAAGAATCTTCAAAATTACGCTAGAAATGATATGTGTTTTTTAAAATAAACCTTGAACAGAAATTATGTTTAAACTACATTTTCCTCAATATTTGAAGTAAGCTAAATGAATAAGATCTAGTACTTGATAGCACAACAGGGTGACTACAGGGTGTAACTTTTAGTTATTTTTAAATGTACAATAATATATTGTATAATAATATATTAGTTATTTTAAATATATATTATATATTTAACAATAATATATTAGTTATTTTAAAATGTACAATATATTATTGTACAATATATTATTGTACATTTTAAAATAACTAAAATAATATATTGTACATTTTGAAATAACTAAAAGAGTATAACTGAGTTGTTTGTAAAACAAAAAAAGGCTGAATGCTTGAAGTTATTGATACCCTCATTTAACCTGATGATATTATTATGCATTATATGCCTGGATCAAAATATCTCATGTACCCCATAAATACATACACCTGCTATGTACCCACAAAAATTAAAAATTAAAAATGTTTTAAAAATATACATTTCTTCAGAATGTGGTAAAAAGAAGACAAAACATTCACAGAAAAGGAAGGACAATATACAAGATAAAACATTAGTGTGAATCCAGAGGACCTCAGTAGACGCTGTTCAATTTTGGGTGCAAAAATTGGTTCTGCTGGCTGGGAGTTTATGTTGCAAAGCAGGACAATGAGTTCAACACGTAAACCAACTTAGTTCAATTTGCTCCACAAGTATTTATGAGGAATCTTCTATATCCTGGCACATCATTTGACATTTAGTGTACATTGATGATTAAGTCATGGTCACCACCTTTAAGTAGCTTTAAAATCCAATGAAAAAAATCTATTGTGTTGGCCATTGGTTACATACCACACCCTATAGTTAGTCATAAGGGAACTGAACCATGCATGGATCCTGGGGAATCATTGCCACTACTGGGAAGACCAACCCTAATATAAGTGCTGGCAATGGCAGCTGAGCCTCAGCATCCTTATATACAGCAAGAGAGGCACAGTCTTATTTTTGCATTCTTACCTTGACACTGCCATCAAAAGGGGTCTGACCTGGATATTTACAAATTCCCTGAGCCAACAGTTCAGAATTTAGAGGATATGGACAGACCTAAAAGAAGACAAAAGACTTTTTTTTCCTGATTAAAAAAAATACTGGTCACAGATTAAAGACAAACCATTCACTCATTTATCCTCTCCATGTTCCAGGTACCACGTTGATGGTAAAGAGAGAAGATAAATATACTGAATACCCATCTGTGATGGTTTTAAAATATATTAAGAAATTTTAAATTTTCTCTCCCCTTCTTCAAAAAGTGGTCTAATTCTCCTCATGTTGAATATAAGCTGAGCTTAGTGACACACTTCCGATAAACAGAATGAGGAGAAAGGGATGCTATGTGAGTTTTGAAATTTGATTATAAAAAAGAAGAGTCTCTCTCTCTCTCTCTCTCCCTGTCATTCATGTTCTGTGGATATGATGCAGCCTGTAGAAAGGCCTATGCGGGGAACAATTAGGATGTGCCAGCTATGTGAAAGAGTGGCCTTGGAAAACAAATTATCCAGCCTCAGTCCCATTTTTAGGTGACTGAAGCTGCCATTTTCCCTGTGACCTGATGAGACCCTGGACCACAACTGCCCAGCTAGCTGAGCCACCCCTGAATTCCTAAACCATAGAAACTGAGAACACTAAATGTTTACTGTTGTTTTCAACCATTAAGTTTTGGGATAATTTGTGGGGCAGCAATAGATACCAAGCACACCAGCCACAGCTCTTTGGTGGATACGGAGAATTCAGTTGCCTGATGTCCTCAGACCATCAGAGAATAGCTCTGGGATATTTCCCTGGCCCCACAGCACTCTCTCTGATTCCTTGGCTTTTGACTCACAGGTTGAAAATTACCAAACCAAACATGCTGCAGGATAAGGTTTAGAAGGCAGAGGAAACAAAAAATTAATATTAAACCATTGTCCCTGCTGTTAAGTCCCATGCAATCTATTTAGAGAGACAAGACTAAGCTACTTGAAAGAACGGCAAATAGTACAAGACTGTACGTCATTAAGTACTAAATTATGTCATTCGAATGTTAAGTGCTGCAGAGATTCAAACAGAAGGGAGATGGATAAAGGATGGCATGGTAGGGGAAGCTTCATGAAAGAGGTGAGACCTGCTGTCATTCAAAAGATAGGCAAAAGCGGAAAATAATATTACTGGGAGCTTAGGCGAAACATATTTTCAACGTTCATTTAACTGCTTTGCAAAAAACCCAGCATACTATTGTTCATTAGGTGTGTAAAATCATCCTCACGTAATCATCCTCACATATTTTAAAAATATAGATTGTAGTAGGTTAGGTATGTTTATCTTCATATGTGTGTTCCAAACAGATAGATTAATTTTCCGATGGATTCCAATATACCAGACAGTTTCATACTCAGTGCTGGGTGAATCTGTCAGAATAAATTAAAGGAAAATTTAGAAATAATTCTTCTGGTAAAATATGAAAGCAGTAAGAGTAATTCTTTTTTTAATCTAATAATTACTAACACACTAAAGGTTCATATCCAGGCATAACGTTTTGTAGGCAAACTAGAAATATTTTATTTCAGATAATGGGTCTTCCTATTTTGTTTAACAACCAAGGACTTTATATCTACATTATATTCAACTCATTTGCAATAATGATAATAATAATAATAAAAAGCACAAAACACTTTTAAATCATAAGCATAATGCCTAAATATATACTATTCAGTGCAGTTTTCTGTGCTGTAGTTACTTAAAAATAGGCCCCTGGATTTAACTTCTTTGTAAGTAATTTGGCTAAGATTGGATATGTAGGCAAAAGATATCCATTCATTTTTTTTCTTTTAAAGCAAGTGTACTTAAATATTTTATTACTAACATTAGTCAGTCGTGTTAATTTCACTCATGTACTCCTTCTTTCAGAAACAAATCAGACATAATCCTTGCCAAATTCTCATCTTTGAAAACTCCACTGGCAACAATGTGGCAAGTGTATTGGGGTAGGGGCAGGGCAAGTGGATCCTGGGTGACCAATTAGCAAGTCATTGAAGTAATAGAAGTAATAGACACTGGCAAGATGATAAAAAATAGTAATTATAATACAATCTTTATTAAGTGCCTATTCTATGTAGAAAGCTTAGTATACATCATTTCATGTAACAACTCACTGACTATAAGGTGATTATTATCCTTGTTTTACAGATGACAAAACTGAACTCAATAAGATTGAGTATAGAAGTAGCCCAAAGTCACCCAACTGGTAGGTATTAAAAATGGGATTCAAACCCTGATCAATCTGCCTGTATATTCTGCCATGTTCTTTTCCAAGGCTACATTATTTCAGACATAATGACCTGAAAGACTGGTCTGTTAAGATGCCAAAGATACTATGTCCTTGGTAATTGGGAGTTGGCATTTAAGGTCACTCCGAGCCAACCACTGACTGACAGGGACTCTTAGGACCCCTAATCTCAGTTTAGTAATAAACATTAGATTAATAAAAGAAACACCACTGGGGGTATTTTCAAGACCAAAATATACTCTGGGGACATCAGGGAATCTATGCTGTGTACTAGTAATTAAATGGAGGCCAGCGAAGCAACATGATTTTGCCAAGGCTCAATCTTAATCAAAGTAAGAACAAATTTGAACCAATGTTTGGTTTGTGGCATCATGCTATTTTTTCAATTAGCTTCTCATTGATTAAATATATTTAAATTATAGTTGATATGGTTTGGCTCTGTGTCCCCTCCTAAATCTCATCTTGTAGTTCCCATAATTCTCACATGTTGTGGGAGGGACCCAGTGGGAGATGATTGAATTATGAGGGTGGGTCTGTCCTGCACCATCCTCATGACAGTGAATGAGTTTCACGAGATCTGATAGTTTTTAAAACAGGAGTTTCCCTGCACAAGCTCTCTCTCTGCCTGCTGCCATCCACATAAGATGTGACTTGCTCCTCCTTGCCTTCCACCCTGTTGTGAGGCCTCCCTAGCTATGTGGAATGGTATGTCTAATAAACCTCTTTCTTTTGTAAATTGCCCAGTCTTGGGTATATCTTTATCAGCGGCATGAAAACCGACTAATACAACAGTCTTTTAGGAAAAGATACACGCGAAAAGGAATTCAGTACTTAATACAGGGAGAGAGGCACTTCTTGGAAGTAAAATTTTGATCTACTAAGGTTCTCAAAAGTGACCCTACAAAAAAATCATCTATCTTCATCTTACATTTTTCACTTAGATTTCCCTAAAAACACAAAGGTAAAAATAAAAGAAGGCAAAATAATTTTTTTTGTCCCCAGCTATGAATCTATGTCATAAAATGTATGCTAATAAAAACAATTATATTTGATTTTAACATTATGTCATTAAACCATAATTATGTCTCATAGCTCAGGGAAGGTCATTTGGGGTTGTTAGTGGTGGTTTCCTCCTAAATCTAGCATATCTGTCCTTGCTATTTGTTTCCTTATCTGATTATTTACACTATTTTAAACTTCCTTGTACTTTTATCATCAAAAAGCACTTGTGGTCTGCATCCTGGGTGGATGACACTGACCTCATGTCATATTCCTTGTCTGAGCTACATTCCTAGTAAAGTTCCCTGACAAAAGTTTTGTCTACATAGTAGTCAACATAGGTTTTCACAGGAAATAAATTGGTTTATGAAAGTGAGTCTTAAGGTGGGAATTGGTTCCTCTGTTTCAGTACATCTTTTGAAAACGCTTAGTGAAAGTTCTTAAATATTTTGGTGAAGACACATATAGATACATGTCATCGGAAAGATCTAAGATTTCACCTCTTAAAACTATTAATAGAAGTAAACTGTTTACTGCACCATTTGACAAACATTTCCAAACCGTAACTAAGCTTAAGTTGAGCATTCATTCTAGTGAAAATTAACATGAAAATGCACTAAGAAAATGAAGTTGTAAAATTGATTGATTTCAGTGACAAAAGGAGATGCAATATAACCAAACATTGCAATTGTACCGGATGGTCAAGCCATCTATAGCATACCAGAAGTGTGTAATTAGTCTATGTTTTTCATCACTAGGAAAAAAGTATGTGGTTTTAGAGATCATGTTTAAAGCACCTACAGAACCCAACATTGTCATGCTAAATACAAGAGATCTAAAGATCTGCTGTTACACATCTATTACATTTAGTGAGCTGTCCCCCTGGCTTTTTTGAAGTGCTGTATACACGATCTTGCAAGGCAAAACACTTTATGTACCATACGAAATTTGAGGCATAATGTTAAATGTTCACAAGATAAGCTAACAAAACTGTATGCTAGTGACTTTTTTATTTCCTTGTTTTATGTCCTTTAAGTACTTTAAGGAAAGATAAACAAGAAGGTAGAGGAATAAAATGTGGCTCTTCCTTCTACATTTTTCACTCTCTTTCCTAAATTAAATTATAACTGCTGATTTGCACCCAAGGAAAGAATCATGTTAAAATATGCTGGGTTATTTTTTTAAAAAATGTTTAGATAGCAGCTTTCAAAACATAGCTAAGTAAAATGTGTTTTGAGATGGAAAACATTTGGTCTTTTTTTCAGCTTTCAACAGCTTAAGTGAAGGGATTTTTAATGTTCCCAAACAGCTGGGTCATACTATGTCTATCATGAATTCCACTCTTCACTGAAGGATCCCACCTCCCTAACTGTAGGGAGAAATTCTCTTTTTAATTCCTGTTCTTTCACTTGTTCATCTTAATAGCTTCCCATTAGTATCACAGGTTTTTCATAGGTAACGCTTGCAGCAGCGGTTGCTGACAGAATTTATTCTTGAATGAAACATAAAACTTTTCTTCAAAAAATGCCAATGGCTTTCTATTTATTGTGTGGTGGCTGTAGAAAACAACAGGTTAATGTACACTGGAACAATAATAATAACAGCATGGTAGGGAAGCGGGGAGTGCGTTGCTTATTTTCAGGACTCTAGCCTTCTCAAAGGTGCTAATTACTGAGCATTCCAGGGCTCATTATCTGAATTGTCTAAATTTTTATCACTCTTTTAACGTCACTCCGAACAAATGCACAAGAGTTTTTCAAAACAAATTAATATTTTTAAATTATTTTCAAATCCTTCCCAGGTAAAAATGTGCATGATAATACATCTATGTACTTATTTATGTGACTATAAGCAAGGTAATGAAGAGGGAGTGAATAGCAATCATGCAATATGTCAAATCAATATAAAACCAAAAATAATCCATGTAAAAACAGAGACAGAATATTGTTATTTACTGCAAATGTACGAGTTAAATTGCATCTTACATTTAACAATAGGTATACTGTTTTATATCCAAAAGAGTAAACTAAGAGTTCAAACATTTGCATGCACTAAATATGCAAACTACAAAAATAAACTGTGTTCATAAATGTACATAATTGTGTAAACTGCTTGGCAAAAAAATAACAAAAATGTTATTGTCTATTTTTATAATTATTGATTGATTGAGACAGGATTGGGATTACAGCCGTAAGCCACTGCACTTGGCCCTTTTTTTATTACGTTTCTTCAAATTAAACTACTTGGTTCTTTATAAATTATTGTATTATGTTATCTTCATTTGGCTGAGAGAGATGAGTTTAAAGAATTGTAGCTGTGAGATCAGTAAATTTGCCAGAGACAGGCTGGAGTCCAGTGGTACAATCATGGCATACTGATGCCTTAACTTTCCAGGCTCAAGCAATCCTCTCACCTCAGCCTCCCAAGTAGCCGAAACCACAGGTGCATGCTACCGTGTCTGGCTAATTTTTAAAAAAATTTTTGTAGAGACGGGGTCTCACCATGTTGCCTAGGTTGTTATTTATTGTTTGTTTCATAGTGGCTTTCACTTTTTTCTGCATCTATTTGTTTCTCATTTAGAAGTTCCATTAGATGGAAATTCCCAGCTGCATATTCACCCCCTGTGCCTTCTCCTCCTCACATAACTCCTCCAGTTGGACTGCAAGCCATTGGGCTTTCCAGCCTTTTCTATGTGGTCAGCCATTGCTATGGGCTAAGGATGGGCAGGGAGTGGAGAAATAGAGCATTACTCCAAGATGTGTGTGATTGGTCAAGGAACTCAAGGTCCCGCATGATGGAAGAAAAGACACCATGGTATTTATTATCTACCATGCGGTTCTACACAATAAACAACTCCCAATATGTAGATGATTCAGATGATTAACAGTAGTTTAAATTACTTTTGCAAATCCTCTATAATTGCTTTTCACCATAACCACCATCTTCTAACTCCTCCTCCATAAAAAGTCAATGTCTTCTTGGATAATTGAAAGTATACTTTACAGATATGTGATCTATACTTCTATGAATAGACATGTAACCCTAATATAGAAAAATTGATTGTGTATGTTTGACATATACACATACACAGACACTCACACACACACACAAACACACACACACAGCTTCAAAATTGCTTTTAATAAAACATACTAGAATCTACACAAATCTACATCTATACTCTGAATGACTTTTGAGTACTTGTCCTTTCGGGTTGCCTATTTCAATTAACAGTGTTAGTATCCACCCAGTGACTGACTCTGATTCGGTAAAAGAATATATCTTTAAAACATTCTTCTACATCCATGAGCAATGAGAGGGAATAGCAGCTTGTCACATGTAAACATGGCCTGGGTTTAAAAAGACGTGAAAACAATTGCAATTCTATTGTTAAAAAATTTGATCATTTTTTAGAAGAAATTTTAAAACTAGTTTTAGACTTTTCATAATCAGTTTTATTTAGAAATGCTTTAGATTGTGGAGATAATGCCAATAGTTTTTTACCTTACAGTATAATCTGTTTTTTGTTGTGTTTTTTGTTTGTTTATTTGTTTTTAGAGACAGGGTCTCGCTTAGTTGCTCAGGCTGGACTCAAGTGATCCCCTTGCTTCAGTCTCCCAAAGTTCTGGGATTACAGGCATGAGTCACCACACTTGGCCTGCTTTTTTTTTTTTTTTTTTGGTTCCATTTCTTCAAATTAAACTACTTGGTTCTTTATTAAATTATGGTATTATGTTATCTTCATTTGGCTGAGAGAGATGAGTTTAAAGAATTGTAGCTTTGAAATCAATAAATTTTGCCAGTTTTTACATTAAAATCCTGTTAGGTCAGATTTGTTAATATCAATTGCATAATGATTAGTTATGGGCAAATCAAAAAGTTATAAATACACTTCTTATACAGAATTAAAAGTTCTATATGACTCTACATGTAATCTTTTTTTAAAAAAGAAAAACTGTCTTGGAGAGATCATTAGTTCACTTTGTTAGATTCTTGGTCCTTGAACCTTATAGTCAGAGGGGGCTATAAATAAATAGTATGTTAGTTTTCATTGAGGGAACTCTTCTGGTTGGAACCAGACAATTGGCAAATCTCAAAAAAAAGTTGGAATACTAGGGGAAAAATGCAAATTTGTATACAAAAGTACATTATTTAACATAAAGAAAAACTCAAAGAAAATAAAATCAAAACATTTATAATTTAGAATAGGTTATTATAGATAAAATTATCTATAAAATGATAGAGAAAATTTAGATAAAAATAGAATAGATTGTTATAGATAAAATATCTTCATATAATATAGATAAAATTTAGACATATTATTAATAGAAAAATATGCAGGCAAAAATAAAATTATATTTGCTCAGGTTTTGGTTTCCACTTTTTAAAAAGTTATAGGTAATGTTTCCTCTTCATCTAGCACTAGTTCACTCCATAAACACATACTAAATTAAATTTAACAGTGTGCATTACCTGAGGAAAATGGCTTTCAAAAAGAATTTGTTTTCTACGTTATCATTTAGTGTAGGGAAAATAATTACACATGATTTTTAGCAGAAACACAATACTTAATATCATATTCTGGGTCACAGGTCAAACCTTTCCCTGGGTCAGTAATACTAAGTAGAAGAAAGACTTGAAACTATGATAAGAAAATCAGTCTTCGCAGTTATCAAAATAAGTTAAATTAACCTCATTACTTCAAACTGAAATAATCAATATGATATGACAATTATTTATGAATGTAAATGATGGTGATTTTACTTTCAAACATGTTCTGCTATGTTCTTTGCAGACATTCCAGAATCCAGGTGGCATACTTTCTCTCATATTACTAAATGTTTGCTCTGATCTCAGGAGTGTTAATACAAATAAAAATATTGACATTTTTTCTCACTTATTCAGTACCCATGGAAAAGAAACCTAAGTGTCATCCAAAACTCAGTACCTCTTGTACTTAAAAAAAACCTTCAGAATATAATTCCAAAATGTGAAATAATGTGCACCAGATAGTGAGAGCAAGAAGTAACCTTTAGTTTCCCTGAACTACTTCAACTTCCTGGTTAACCATCTTATCAGAAGTTTATTTTAATAAACAGAGAGGGTCAGCAAGATACTCTGTTCTATTCAATTCTATATGAGAGCAGTTCTACAGTTCTACTTTTTTTTTTTTTTCCCATGGGAAAGAAGCAAATACCAGCCAGCCAAAATACAAAGGCCTAGATGATATCTTACTACTGGCCTAATTAAGTAATATTTTAGGAAAATTATATTTAGGCATTTATGTAGTTCCTACTGGAAATGAAATCCCCAGACTATCACAAAAGCTATTTCATATACATGCCTACAAACTCTCTTTTGATCAAACCACTCTATTTTTACCTCTGTGGATTTAGATGTTTATTTTAATCATTAAAACTGTCTGTTCTAAATCAGACCTTAAAAGTCAAAGCTAGTCCAGGCGTGGTGGCTCACACCTGTAATCCCAGCACTTTGGGAGGCCAAGGCGGGTGGATCACGAGGTCAAGAGATCGAGACCATCCTGGCCAACATGGTGAAACCCCATCTCTACTAAAAATACAAATATTAGCTGGGTGTGGTGGCGCATGTAGTCCCAGCTACTTGGGAGGCTGAGGCAGGAGAATCCCCTGAACCCGGGAGGCGGAGGTTGCAGTGAGCCAAGATCGCACCACTGCACTCCAGCCCAGCGACAGAGCAAGACTCTGTCAAAAAAAAAAAAAAAAAAAAAAAAATCAAAGCTAAGCGTCTGCATTCTCTCAGAAGCAACCCTCGAATTACATTGTTTCCCAATGTACTTAATTGTAGCAAGTCAGATGAAGTCACAGCTCAAATGTATATACACTTTCGTGGATGCTGAATATGTGTACTTGGCCAATATTTTTTTTCCATTCAACACAAAGTGGCTAGAACTATGTTTTTTTTCTCTAGTCTACATTATGAGCCAGTTTCTCTAATTCTGGGCAACATTCCACAAAGCTTCACAGGGAATCCCCACAGTAATTTACATAGGATTGGGAGAACTAGGTGTTCCCTCAAATAAAAATATCAGCTGGGGAGCTTTTCCCCTTGACACTGTTGAACTCAACAGCCGAAAAGGAATTCTATTAACCCATTTAAAAGTGAACTTATTGATGGTTTTGAGGTTCTACCCATAATGTCCTTTTTCACACCATAGACAATTTGATTCTCAATTTTGAATTCTAAATTCTAAATCCACTGGGCAGTGTTTCATTTATACATTACAGAACAGCCTTCCATATAGATATGATAAAACCCCAAAATGGATATTCTGCTTTCAATGTTGCTAAATTAATAGGAAGATTTCAAAGGTACTCCTGGAATTTCTTTTTTATGTCACTGTATGCTTATAAATTATTAGCATTATTTTAAGAATATTTCTCTTCTCTAAGTATACACATGCATAATTTAATGTTATACATACTAATTTTCTATCAGAAAATACCTTTTGTGGCAAAGAAACAATAATGAAGGTTTAGAAGAAAAATATGTTGTAAGATGCTATTGTCCTTTTCTATTAGTTAGGAACATTTACTGAATATATGAGAATGAATTGAATTGCTTTGGTTCTCATGAATAAACCTATTAATAAGAACCAGTAACTCAAGGTAGGCTGCCAGATTTTCATCCACTCTGGACTCTCTATTAACCTTTATTCTTGTTAAAGACAGGACCCTTGGCGTTATGTCTCTCTTCATGTCTTATCCAGTGATTTGTACATAGTAGGTATCCAATACATATTTGAGAAAATAAATTAGAAATATTGTTTTATGACAGAGTTATAAAGCTCTTTAACATTTATACCATAGCTATTGTAATCCTTTAAAAAGAGTAGTAAAAAATGACCTTAAAATGGTATTTAGAAATTTATCCAAAAAATGAAAATAATTATAAATGAAATAAATAATTATTGGAATAAATCATTTGATAATCATTTGTCAAGCACTTATTTTATATTACTTCCAAAGGAAGGCAATGATGAAAATATATAATAACAAGGATAAGAAGCTATTCCTCAACTATTGTAAAATGGGAAAGACCACAAAGAGAAACAGGAAAACTGGCCTAGAAGAGCAAACTATTAAAATACAGATGAAGGGGCAGGGCAGGGGAAAACTTTTGGCCTTACTTTTCTCAAGGGAAGACAGAGAACTGACTCTAACAAAATAGAAAGCTCCCAAGAGAGGAAACATAGATACTAAAGGAATGCCAGGTCATTCCAGAATGAGCAATAGGAAATTAAACCAACATTCAATGGGTTCTATCCAAAGTAGACCATAAGACAGAGAAACTCCTGTGAAATCTGTATGAAACAGGCAATACTGATGTAGAAAGAACTGAGGAATAAAAAGAATAGAAATTCTCCCTTTGTTCTGGATACTATAAATTTTTACTAAGAGTGATATATGAAAAAATACCAAAAAAAAAAAATCTTCCCATGATTCGATCTGAAAGAAAAATGTAATTCATGTGTAAGAACTGGATGGTAGATGTTTGTATCAAGTAATATAATCATGCTATCTCCAATAAACATGGATTTAACTTTTTCTTGTTTTTTTACAGTTTATTATTTATTTTATTCAGGATATTATCTCCCAATGTTATACAAAATACTGACAAATGTCAATGTCTTTTCTTACTTTCCACTGTATCACAGGTTTTCACTTCATTTACTTCCGCAGGTACCCTTGTATGTGTGTGTGTGTGTGTGTGTGTGTGTGTGTGTGTGTATACATATATAAAATTAAAGGCCTATCCATATAAAAATTATCCCCCAATAAACTTAATCTCAGAAGAAACAAATCACAGCTGTAATTTTACCCATACATAGGAAAAATGGAACACAAGAGATTAGATAAAATAGTAATTGATATTTTGACTATTGCAACTTTATGAAACTGAAGATTTTGAATGATAATGACTAAGAGGAAAGAATAAACCTGAGGAATGGATGTGAAGATTTTGTGTCCTTAGGCTAAAGGACAATTAGTCATGTTTGGATTTCTAACATGGTATCATGAACCCTCAGTGGGTCAGGGGGCTAAGGACATAATACTGTGCTGTGCAAGCTCTACAGCTAACCGGCAGCAAGCCCTGACAAGTTGCTTGGCTTCAATGTGCATCAGCTTCTACAATTGAAAAAAGGAGAAAAATAAGGTCCCAATGCTTGTCTTATTGGATTCTCGTGAAAATCAAATGACACTGGAAATGAGGACACTTTATAAACCCTACATACTATATAACTACCAGTTAAAGGATTGTTATTATAATTATTATATTTACACAAAATGTGATTTTTCCATAGTTTACTCTAAGAAAAGGATGTATTATTTTCATTTTGGCCCCATTCATGTAATACCTATTTCTATCACCAATAAATGCAATAAAAAATGAGCTTAAGAACAAATATAAAATATTTATGAAAATTACAGCATTTGATACTAACAACCACTTCCTCCTTCTTGAAATGATCTCCTTGTTTGGCATTTATGACCCACCCTCTCCTGGTTCATTTTCTACTTCTCTGGATTATTTTTCAGGATGCTCTCCTGGGATCATTTTCTCTGCTAGCTGAGGAAATGCTGAATTTCCTCCAAGATTTTATCCTCAGCCTATTCTCCCTTTAACATGCCCACTAGGCTCTCTTCCAACAACTCTCAAAGCTTTAATCCTCCCTCTCTCCCCAATGCTGGTAATTCCCTGACAATACTTCTAACCACAAGCTCACCTCTGAACTCCAAACTGGTTTATCCTGTTGTCCCAGAGGCATCTTAAATTCAGTCTGGCAACTCTGAAAACATTTTGTGTTCACTCTCTTTCTCTGGCTTGTACTATCTTAGCCTCTATGACTCTCTCAGATCCCAAATCCAGCCAATCCTCAAGCTTTGTCGATTGCATTTCCAAAATATTTCTCGTATCAAATGCTTCTCACTATTGCTTGTCTTCTCCCATTTTATAGCACCCAGCTCCTTGCATCCAGACTTGCTCAGGTGCGATCCATTCTGCCAAATATAGCCAGAGTACTTTATCTTGTGTAAAAATCAAATCACGTTAATTCCCTGCTTAAAGTCCTTGAATGACTATCTGTATGTGACTACCTACACTGACGGGCTGAAGGCCAAGGAACTTCACAGGACATTTAAGGCACTCCATGTAGCCTCAACCACCATGTCACATTCATGCTCTGTTACTTTCTATGTAATACTTTGGACTTTATAAGTACTAATGGGATTGTAAGTCCTCATATTCACCTGAATATTTACCTGAACCAAAGTTTTAGCTTATGAGCCTTTACTTTGGCAAATGTCTCTTTGCCCAGCATATCCTGTCTACCCTTGACTTGCCAGGCTAACTCATGCTTATCATTTTAAAGATTTCATCTCCAGAAATGATGGCAAATTTTCAAACTCCCAGTGATGGGCATTTTGGTATGCTTCCACAGTTTCACAATTGGAAGTCTACGTATTATTTTTAAATGTATCTATTCATGTATATACATTTTGCCAGTAAACTCTAGTATTTCCAAGACCAGAAAAAAATGTCTTAGGGACCTTTGTCTCTGGCTTATATTAGATAATTAAAGTGGAACTAAATTTTGAACAAATTGGCAATGATCCTACCACCAAGCACTTCCTTCTGGCACTGATACATTACTAATGTAATGGACAAGAATGAATGCATGACATCAAAACTACAGAGGTTTCCTTTCTAATTACTCTGGACTACAAGGACAGGTAGAAAAATTATAATTGCAAAGAATGTGATGCAAGAAAAATCTTGAGTAAAAACCTCTTTATAAAAAGAAAAATCTAGACTCAAGTTTATGCCCAAACATCAGTTATATCAAAATACTTCAGTATTGACAATTGTTTAAAGACATATTTTATCCATATCAGGTTAATGCAGGGATTTTATTGCTAAATCATGATTTCTTGCACACTCTAAGATATTGGATCGGAAATTCTGAAAAATAGCATCCACCTGAAAGTATGTTAGGAGAAAGCAACTTGTTAGCATAAGACGAGGTCATTTCTTTCTTCTCTTCTGAACCTGACACACAGCATTTTAAAATTAAACAGAAGAATATTCTGCTTCCTAGGGATTTATGCCACCATCTACCACATTACTCAAATGACCACTGCTACTCATTACATAAGAGATCAAGCACAACTTTATTCATGAAAAGCAGACATGAAGACAACTTCTTAAAACTCAGGCTTTTAAAATCAGACTCTGTCTCATCTGGTACCTATTGATTGCCTTTTTTGTCAATCGGGGTGGGTATTTACCCATCTGGTATAGAGAATAGATACTAGAGTCTGAAATTGGACAGAACTGTGTTCCAATCCCACCTCTGTTGCTTTCTGTTTCTAGCTCTACAATTTTCAAGTTACCCAACTCACAAGTCTTTTTCCTCATATATAACATGAGAATAACAAAAGCCCGCACTTACAACATATCAGGCATGTTTTCATGGCTTTGCATCTATTATTGCATTTAAGTCACCCAATAGTCTTAAGAAATAAATACTACAAGTTGAGCATTCCTAATCCAAAAATATAAAGTCTGAAATGCTCCAAAATATGACATTTTTGAGTGCCTATATGACACCACAGATTGTCCTTATATAGGTGGCTAAAACAGTGATACCTTTGCTTTCTGACAATTCAATGCCTGCAAACTTTGTTTCATGCACAAAATTACTAAAAATATTCTATAAAATTACCTTCAGGTTATGTGCATAAGGTATATATAAAACAAATAAATTTTGTGTTTAGATTTGGGTCCCATCCCCAAGATATCTCATTATGTATATGCAAATATTCCAAAATCCAAAAGAATCTGAAACACTCTGGTCCAAAGCATTTTGGATAATGGACACTCAACCTGTATTATTTCCCATTTACAACTGAAGAAACGGAAAGGTCCCAGCAGCAGAATCTGATTTAAGTGGACCATTTCTAGAGTTCTGTGCTCTTGTGCTATGTTCTCCAGACCCGTCGCACAATGTTTGTATAAAGACTAAATACTTTAATAGGAGTAAAATATTTAAGATGGGTAGGTACTCAATAATAATTCCCTCTATGCTTTTCAGATGTATTCTTCTCTTCCTTCTATGGCAGACCCTCATGCAAACATCTCGACATGGCTTTAAACCACAGGAGCTAAATATCACTAAGTGAGGGAAGATGACCAATAAAAACTGAAGAAGAACCTAGAAGTCACAGAGTCAAGTGAGGCTTTTATAAATTCTTCAGGTCTAGTTTCTGCTAATATGGTTCGTTTTATTTCTTTACAAGAATGTCCAGTCTTTTGGCTTCCCTGGGCCACACTGGAAGAAGAATTATCTTGGGCCACACATAAAATACACTAACACTAATGATAGCTGATGAGAAAAAAAAAACAACACACACACACACATACACACCAAAAAAAAAAAACCCCTCATATGTTTTAAGAAAGTTTGCTAATTTCTGTTGGGCCTCATTTAAAGCCATCTTGGGCCACAGGTTGGACAAGCTAGCTTTAGCATATATCAAGAGGATCTTACACAGGGGAAGGATCAGGGAAGTCTCCCTCAGGAAAGGATGTTTAATATGCAACATGAAATATAAGAATGAGGTAGGCATTGACAAAAACAAGCAATGAGGAAAGGATCTCCTATTCAATAAATGGTGCTGGGAAAACTGGCTAGCCATATGAAGAAAACTGAAACTGGACTCCTTCCTTACACCTTATACAAAAATTAACTCAAGATGGATTAGAGACTTAAATGTAAGACCCAAAACCATAAAAACCCTAGAAGAAAACCTAGGCAATACCATTCAGGACACAGGCATGGGCAAAGACTTCATGATGAAAACACCAAAAGTAATTTCAAAAAAACCCAAAAGTGACAAATGAGATCTAATTAAACTAAAGAGCTTCTGCACAGCAAAAGAAACTATCATCAGAGTGAACAGGCAACCTACAGAATGGTGGAAAATTTTTGCAATCCACCCATCTAACAAAGGTCTAATACCCAGAATTTACAAGGAACTTAAACAAATTTACAAGAAAAAAACAAACAACCCCATTAAAAAGTTGTCAAAGAATATGAACAGACAACTCAAAATAAGACATTTATGGGGCCAACAAACATATGAAAAAAAGCTCAACATCACTGATCATTAGAGAAATGCAAATCAAAATCACAATGAGATACCATCTCATGCCAGTCAGAATGGCGATTATTTAAAAGTCAAGAAACAATAGATGCTGGTGAGGCTGTGGAGAAATAGAAACGCTTTTACACTGTTGGTGGAAATGTAAGTAAGTTTAACCAGTGTGGAAGACAGTATGGCAATTCCTCAAGGATCTAGAACCAGAAATATCATTTGACCCAGCAATTCCCTTACTGGGTATATACCCAAAGGAATATAAATCATTCTACTATAAAGACATATGCACACGTATGTTTATTGCAGCACTATTTACAATAGCAAAGTCATGGAATCAACCCAAATGCCCATCAATGATAGACTGGATAAAGAAAATGTGGTACATATACACCATGGAATACTATGCAGCCTTAAAAAGAAATGAGATCATGTCCTTTGCAGGGACATGGATGAAGCTGGAAACCATCATTCTCAGCAAACTAACACACAGGAACAGAAAATCAAACACCACATGTTCTCACTCATAAGTGGGAGTTGAACAACGAGAATACCTGGACACAGGGAGGGGAACAATGCATACCAGGGCCTGTTTGGGGGTGGAGGGCGAGGGGAAGGAACTTAGAGGACAGGTCAATAGGTGCAGCAAACCATCATGGCACACATATACCTATGTAACAAACCTGCATTTTCTGCATATGTATCCGAGAACTTAAAGTAAAATTAAAAAATAATAAAAATTATAACAATAAAAAGAATGAGGACCAGGCGCGGTTGCTCATGCTTGTAATCCCAGCACTTTGGGAAGCCAAGGCGGGCAGATTACCTTAGGTCAGGAGTTCCAGACCAGCCTGGACAACCTGGTGAAATACTGTCTCTACTAAAAATACAAAAAAATAGCTGGGCATGTTGGCATGAGCCTGTAATCCCAGCTACTTGGGGAGCTGAGGCAGGAGAATTGCTTGAACCCGGGAGGCAGAGGTTGCGGTGAGATGAGATCCCAGCCACTGCACTCCAGCCTGGGCGACAAGAGCTAGACTTGGTCTCAAAAAAAAAAAGGAGAAAAAAACAAAAAAGAGAAAAAGAATGTGGTAGATATACGCAAGATAAAAAGAAGAAAGAACAGGTTTTGTAACTGTTGGTCCCATTTCTGCCTTCCTGAGTAGTTAATACATTTCAGGAGGCTACAGACCATGTCTATTTTATTCTCCTACATAGCCTTTAGCAATCAGCATAGTGCCTGACACAGTCAGCATTCAATAAATATTGAAAGAAGGAAGGAATACATGTATATATGAAATGTGTGAAAGCCTGCAAGCAAGTTTAAGGAACTGAGAGAAATTCAGGAACTGAGCGAAGAATGTACAAAGATGGCAGAAGAATTTGCAGGAGCCAGATGATGGAGGGCCGCATGAGTGATTATACGAATTTTGAGCTTTATCATGAACACAGTGGGAAACCCCTGGAGGGTTTTGACAGAGGAGAGATATAATCAGATTGCTTGTGAAATTAGTGATGTGCCTTATCTCCCAAATAGAGCAGAGTCGAGGAATCATCATCAAGAAGGACATTAGTTTCTCAGAGTCCATCCTACCATGTTCCAGTGGTTTCTGCAGGTGTAACCTAGAAGCTTGAAGCTTGGGGAGGACAATGTATAGCCAGCTAAGAAGAGAAGTTTCTGGCCATCTATTTAGTGCAATCAGGTCATGTTTGCCAGCTTCAAGATAATGTTCACCAGCCCCACATAATCTTGAAAGCAATAGTGCCCCCATGATAGGTTCTGCCATGTTTGATTTTTCAAAATGAATTTTTAAAATATAAATTCTTCAGTTCTTTTCCTCTGTATTACTTAATTTCTAGGTTGTGATAAATCCTAGGATATGTTACGCTAGATATCCAACATCCAATGTTTTATTGTTTTTCTCATAACTCTAAAGACTACAAACCTTCTTGAAAACAATTACATAACTGTCTCTTTTGTGAGGTGGCTAATCTTTAGTAACACTGAACACTTTTGGCTGTACGAAGTTTTCACAGAACATTCAGATTAAGCACTATTAATCATGAAATTACAGTTTGTTAAGTAAAATGAAAAGTTCAATTTTTAATATACTACGCCCACAATATTTATTTAACAGAGTAATAAAACATAAATGCTTTCTGAAAACTAGGAAAAACAAAAGTGTGGTTAAAAATCCCTTTAACATTCACTTGAAAGGCAAAAAAATTATTTTTTAAGAAATATTCACTCTTTACAAAGTATCTAAGGCTACTCATGTGCTTTCTTTTCTCTATATATAGCTATGTGTCACCCATGCCTTTCTTTGTAATTTATGTTTAAACAAATTTTAAAGACCACAAGTAGGCCTTTGCTCTATGAAATAAGCCATGAGATATTAATGCAAAAGCTATTGTGCTGAGAGCTAAGAAACCCTACACTTCCACTCTCAATGCTAGTGTGTTAAAAGAGATTTTAGTAATGGCAAAGCCAGTCAACAGGGAATAATTAAACTCAAGTTGTCTAAGATTTGCTGTGATGTGTGGAATGATAGTTTCCAACCCAGCTGCTGCGGAATGTTTGCCTAAGAAGAAAGTGCAGTTGACTAGGGGCTACAGTTCAGATGAAATGCAATGAAAAAGCTCGTTGACCTCTAAAACAATAGGTGGGGCCTACTCGAATAATAAAATCAACACAAAGTCAACAATTAAACAAGAATGTAACAATAGGGCCATCTCAATATCATGCCACTAAAAGTTTTTAAAAGGACAGAATTACTCCACAGTAAACTGACAAATATCTACACTTGGCACCTCTTACAAGCTAATAAAGATGTAGACTGGCAACTGTGATAAACAAAGCCCTTCATGAATACCTTGCTTCTTTTTTCCTCAAAAAGTTTTTCAAATTCAGCTCGTTAAAAGGACATATTATATTTCCTTCAGTCCAGCAGCCGGTCTCTCTTTTTAAGCTGTCAACTAAGCAGTCATAAGCTCACATTGATAGTATGTTATCTGCTGAGTCCCCTCCCCCAGGACTCCCCATCAGTCCTAGACCTGTAGCTCAGCATAAACCAAGCAGTGTGACTTGTTCTCTATTAAAATGACTCATTGGTAATGTAGTCAACCTTAATCTACAATGCAGATGAAGAAAAAAGACAATTTTCAGCCAATTTGTTGATTTACTTTCGGAATTCCTTTTTAATTTTACTAGTTTTTCCGTTGTCTGGCATTTACAATATAGTCACAAACTAAAAAGGCAATTATTTTCCTCTCTTTCCTATCTATAATACCTTAAAGTTCAGGCCCAATATTATTTCCATTTAGAAAATTATTTGTATAGCTATTTGTAAGGTCTTTATAAGCTAAGGCTTGCCAAGGTAGTTCACATTTTTGATTTATCGTGGCTAGACTTGGTTGGCACTAAATGAAAAGGTTTTACCATCTAATTTTAATGTCAATATTAATATATATATAGACACACACAAATACACGTATACATACACACTATGTGTAGTATACAAGTCCCTTTAGCCATGTGTGTATGTTTTGATGCGCAAGGTACTTACATAATGACTGGCCAATAAATATCTCAAAGATTGATTTGTAATATACCTGATAAGAAATGATTTCCTACTACTTATCATGTGTCCTGTTAACATGGCCCTTTCCTTGATCACCTCCTCATACATTTCAAACTTCAAATAGAGTTTTTAAAGATCCTGAGTATTTGAGTTGCATGAGACAAAAGATGACAGGATTTCATGTTTTGTCTTTGTAAGTATTGGAGCTTCTTCACCTTCTTTCCTTCTGATTCATTTTGACCACAGACTTGCACTTTCTTATTGTATATCTCAAAAAGGGAAGGCATTTTCTGAGATCCTTTCCAGTATTCTCTTTATGTATGTGTGTGTGTGTGGAGATGATATATATATATATATATATCAGGCTGTGTGTATCAAAAGTTCCAAATCGGAGAGATGTCAAAAATTTAATTCAATAAATATATATTTAGCAGCTACCATGTTATCAACACTTCTAAGGAGATTTCCAGTCTTAAAAAAAGGCAAGCAAACTTAAATTATGTAGGAAGTGAAACTAATAAGAGTTATAATAACTGCTGTAACTTTGCTGAGCTCTTACTATGTGTGAAGTATTATACAAAGTATTTTCCTATAAAATTACTCATGTAATCCTCATAACTAACCTGTGAGGTACATACTATTATTAATCACACTTTATATTCAAGGGAATGAAAAACAGAGATGCCCAGTAATTTACTCAAAGTCACACAGGCTAGTGAGCCAGTCAGTTTGGCTCCAGATTTGAATCCTTAACTACTTGACTTAACTGTCTTTCTGTAGATCTATCCAGACCTATGCTGCCTAATACGGCAGCTACTAGCCACATGTGGTTATTTAAATTTAAACAGAAATTAATTAAAATCAAAATTAATAGTTTGGCTATTTAGTGCCATTAACCATATAGGTCAGTAACCACATGTGACCAATGCCAGCTGTACTGGACAATGCAGATATAGAACATTTTCATCTTTCTAGAAAGTCCTATTTCTCAGCACTGACTAAAAAATCAGCAATGGTTCCAGAGGAACAGGTCAGCCCTTGATTCCACACACCAACTCTTAACTAGGTTAGTGAGATTTGTTTTTTAAAAACCTGCTACTAAAAATAATTCCAGACTTCAATTATGCCTCAAACTTTAAATGATACCATTTACCTGCTTTTCCCAAGGGTGTAACTTTGTGAGTAAAGTGAGGATTCCAAAAGTACCAGAGATGTGTCATAGAAATAGGGTTAGTGACAGTGTGACCCAGAGGTCCTGGATAGGAAACTTAAACTGTAGTTATACCTGCATCTATCATGTAAGGAGACACATGAGAAGAAACAACTGTATATTGAGGAAAAGCAGGATTATGGAGTCAGGCGAACTTGGATTCAAACCAACTCCCTGCTTCTGTGACCCTGGAACATTAATTAAGCTATTTAAGCCTCAGCTTTCTCATCTGTGCAATGGGGCTAATAATGTCTTTTTTGCAGGTTATTATGAGAATTAAATGATAAAACACATACAGAATTCTTGCTCAGAAGAGGACCTTAGAAAACTATTTTTCTATATCTGGAGATGAAAAATACAAATCAAAGCTAAATAACAAGATGAAGGATAGGAAGAGGAATTATCTTGCTAGGTGCTACAGCTACTTGAACTGAGTCTAAATATTCACAGAGCTGAGATGTTTACGATTAATTACCTCTGAAAGTAACTAGTTGAAAGGCGTTTGGCAGGGTGTAATATAAAATAGAGCTGCCAAGGCTAACAGCTATTATTAAATGTCTGCATATTTTAACAACTGTGCTTGGCACTTTTATTCTCACTTTATTCAAAAGACAATCAGCATACTCTTCTTTGTGGTGTTCGTTATTTCATACAAACAAGCAGACTCTCAGGTTTTACCCCCAAAGATTCTAAATTATAAATCTGGGATTAAGTCCAGCAATCTGCATTTTAAAACAGTATCACAGCTTTTGATGCACGAGCTCCGCTGACCACACTTTGAAAAAACAGTAGAGATCCAACTTATTTAAAGCAGCAAAGCAAGTTGTGAGTCTACGTTTACAGGGATGCTATCTAACAACTTCAATTACATTCAGCCAAGAACTCACAAGTGTAGAGAAATTCCCTTTAATTTTGGTGGCACAGAGATTAAGCACATGTGCCAAAGCTTATATACTTTTCTTAAAAGAAAGTCATTTGGTGTCAATTTGCTTTGATTTAGGACATGAATCAAACAAGGCCCAGTTGGCTATCTGGCCTTCTGTACTAATGATTTTAGAAAAGTTTTCATCCTTAATGGCAACGTTACGGAAGCTACAGGGCTCAAACAGATGATCTTCAGATATATTGAGAATTCACTTCTCTGGAACTCTAACTTTCCTGATTTGCATTAATAAATGAGATGCTACTTGAACACCTATCAGTATTCAGATATTAGATACAAAAAAAAAATACTTGGCTAAACAGAGCTTGTTGAGATTGAGCAGAAAGTGGAGTCGAGGTCTGGCTCAGGACTAAGACATACATGAATTTCTGCCCTAGGTCCACAACTTCTTAGGTACGAGGCTTTGTGCGAGTTAATTAACCTTGCTGAACCTCATGATTCTCATCTCTAAAGTGAAGATTATACTGTAGTACTTATAATGCTAATCTCATTATCTCTCATGAGGTAATGCAAGTCAAGCATATAGCACATTGTTTGGCACATAGTAACAAAGGCAAGTTGTTGCTGTTGCTACTGTTACCCTAGCTATGTGATGGGGATAGAGAGGGCTAGTGAGCTTATCTGGATTAATCTGGACTCCATGGAATGAAGAAATGCACTCATTGCCATAGGGTAGGATTTCTGAAGACAATGAACACATTTCAACCTTCCACCTTTCTCCTGTGAGACATAGTCTCTCATCCCATTAATTCAGCAATGAATCTGTAGTAGATTTTAATCTAATGCACACTTTACTATTGTAAGAATCTCCTTCAGATCCCTATCTCTTTGACTTTAGATTTCCCCCTTCTTACCCAACCTGCACTTGACTTTTAAGATCAACCATCCTAAATACCTAAAATGCCACTATTGATATTTCACCCTTTTGCTGAAAAATGTTCTTTGGCTTCACCATTGTAGCAGCAACAGCAGGAGGAGGAGGAGCCAGAGGTCATATGAACTGAGCAGCTCCTCCTGCCTCACAGGCACTAAGCTATAAGCTGGGGTAGAAATATAAGAGCCACTCCCAACTTCCTGCCTTCCAAGAAGGCAGGGAGAAAGCAATCTGGAGGTAGAAGCAACTGATACGTTAAGGACTGTAGAAGATACATACATACACACACACACACACACACACACACACACACACACACACACACACACACACACACACATATATATATATATACACACATACATATTTTTTTCTTTTTTCTTTTTTCTCTTTTTTTTTAGTGAGACGGAGTCTCCCTCTGTTGCCCAGGCTGGAGTGCAGTGGTGCGATCTCGGCTCACTGCAAGCTCCACCTCCCGGGTTCACGCCATTCTCCTGCCTCAGCCTCCCGAATAGCTGGGACTACAGGCACCCGCCACCACACCCGGCTAATTTTTTGTATTTTTAGTAGAGACGCGATTTCACCACATTAGCCAGGATGGTCTCAATCTCCTGATCTCGTGAACCACCTGCCTCGGCCTCCCAAAGTGCTGGGATTACAGGCTTGAGCCACCACGCCTGGCCAGGACTGTAGAAGATATTTATGATGAATGTCTTTCTGCAGGGTACTTTCTCAGGGACAGCTACAAGAGTAAGATTTGTGTTGAATGACCAGGAATTTGCCTGGTAGAGAAGGTAGGGAAAAAGAAGAATAAACGTGACCATGGACTTCAAAGGGAGAAAATGAACATAAACAAAGACACACAGTGGTGAAGGAGCACAATGCTTTCAGGAGAATTCTGAATGATGACTAGGGTGAGGGGCAGAGAAAGGGGAGAAATGAAGCTAAAGACGTTTGGAATTA
The DNA here is from genome assembly GCF_000001405.40 of Homo sapiens. Lineage (NCBI taxonomy): Eukaryota > Metazoa > Chordata > Mammalia > Primates > Hominidae > Homo > Homo sapiens. The sequence continues at coordinate 169,184,444 of NC_000003.12, forward strand.
AATCACGGAGGGCCATGTATATCAGTCTAACAAGGCTGGCTTTCTAATTTTCAAAATGTTTTAGTGCAGAATACATTTTTTTTCCTCAAGCAAAATCTTAAGCAAACCCAGAAATATTGAACAAGTAAAAAGTGATGGTGTATTTCCTGAGGAAGAGGTAGGAGCTAGGAGGTCAATCCACCTGGCTTTCCCTTCCCCAGTGCTACTCTTTAAGGCGTCCCATGGGGTCTTGGGACTGAGCAGAACACAGTGAGAAACTACTGCTATGGACAACAGGGAGCCAGAGTAATGCCTTAAGTAAATAAAAGTTTAACTCAGGTTTGATGGTTAAAAAGGAGGGTCTCAAATGGAAAGGAGACCATTTAGAATACTCTTACATGCAGTCCTAGCAATAGGTGGTAAGGCTTTAAATTAAGGGAAAGGCAGAGTGATTTGAATTAAGCAGAATCAAGAAATATTTCTGGAGTGCAGACCATTACATTTGGCAAATCACTGGACATGGGAGAAGAGAAAAGGAGTGCCAGAAGGGAAGGTGGGCATCTAAATTCCAGCTTGAGAAATAAGGTAGATGGTGAGCCTATTAACCCCAAAAGGAATAAGGAGAGGGCGGATATATTTCACTTTATTTGACGTGGGGCAAAACGGAAACGTTCAGGTGGAGATATTAAGCAAGAGGGTAGAAATATAGGTTTAGAGCCTACGATAATGATTTAGGAGTCTATAATGGATAAGTAGATAGTATCTTTGAATGGACATGACCCAGGAGAATCAAGGACAGGAAGATGAAGGTGCTGAAGTGTGGACCCTGGGAAACACCATTTGAGAACTGTGGAGGGGAGAATAAGGATAGCCCAGAAAAGGAGACTGAGCAGAATAGAAGTGAATGAACCGTGGTCTAGAAGCCAGAGAGGACATAGAGTCCAAGAGGCAAGAATTGTCCCACGAAAGTTATGGAGGATGAAGGGCTGAAAAACTGACACTCTGTTTGGCAGCTGGGGAATGTTACATACCTTTTCAGGTGTTGTGGGCAAAATGAAGTTTGCAATAAGATAAAAAGTGAATGGAAATTGAGGAGATAGAGACAAACAGCAAAGACTATTTGCTCATGAAGAAAGGAAATGCAATAAGGTAGTGTCCTGCAGATATGGTACTTATCTTTAAAAGTCTTCCTTGAAGGCTTCTTTTCTACGGTTCACAATAACCTCTTTCGCCTCTAAACTCCAAGAAAAGTTCATAATCTGTACTCTTAGGGGATTTACTATTCTATCATTCACTACCCTAGATCATTCTATCATAATTTAAGAGTATTTTCTTGCACACCTCCTAATGATGTCTAACAAGCATCTAATGCCAGGCTGAATTCAATTTACCTTTAAGGGTAATTCAACCGAGTCTTTTCTCTCATTCTTCTCTCTGCCCTCCCACACTCATACTGAATTTATGTCAGTTCATGGGCTCTGCCATGCTTTCTTTTGTCTTTGGGCTGATGACTATACATCATTTTCTGCTATTATACAACTTCCTTTTATTGGAATAAAGGAATAATCATCTTTCAGGTGTTGGCTTAGACAATATTCCCTCAAGGAAACTATCTCTGACTCCCTCTGGACTTGGTTGTGTATCTCACCCAACCATTGCCCATACCTAGTATCTTATGCTTCTGCCATGACAGCACTGTATCAGTTCACTGGACTGTGTCCCTCACTTGATCTCCTAAGGGCAGAGAAAGCATCTGATGTAGTTATAGCTTATTTCCAATACCTAGCTTAGATGAGTAGTGACCAGCTCAGTATATGGGCTAAAACATTTGAGAAATAAGGGAGAAAAGAAGAAAGCTGGTCATGAGTAAAGGTAGGGAAAGATGGAAAGGAAGGAAGAAAGGAAGGAAGGAGGGAGGGAGGGAAGGAAGGAAGGAAGGAAGGAAGGAAGGAAGGAAGGGAGGGAGGGAGGGAGGGAGGGAGGGAGGGAGGGAGGGAGGAAACTAATTTGGTTCCCATTTCAGCATTGCCATTAACTATTGGGTGACTTTGGTCATACATGTAATTTGTTAATCTATAAAGCCAAAATATCATATTAAATTTATTCTAGGATCTTTTCCATTTTAAAATTGGATTCAAAAAGAAATCTAGCATTTATTTGCATGGTTCAGATTTCTGAATGTAATAACTGCATAACTATATTCTGTGACTCCCAGTAACTTTTACCCCTCAATAAAAAAATAGAATTGCTGAACTTTTCTCCTCAAATGACTATGTTAAAAATCTGTCTGAGTTTACACTTGCTAACTAACGAACCTTGACTAAGTCACTTAGTCTTGCTCTGACTCAGCTCCTCCACCTAGAAAATAAAGTGATGATTGGGGATTAAATGAGAGAGGCAAGCAAAGGTGACTTATGAGCTGCAGTCGTCTTTACGTAGGTTAGTCAGCAGATATTATTTGTAAATAGGGTTTCATTTACAGAATAGCTACCTTGATTTAAGGACATCAAGCTACTTGATATATTAGTCACTGGTAGTGCAGTGATGATCAATATTCAGTAGGTAGTTAGGTGAACAATTTAACAAAAACTTGGAGGTTTAAACTTGTTCCGAAGCAATAGAAAAGTAATTTATTTACTGTTAGGTCTTAGAAGTCTGACTGTACAGTGCTGTTCTTTGGAATCCAGCACACATTATGATGCTTTTCATAGTCTTCAATGGGGACTACTACCTGGAAAATCATGGTAGAAGTTTCAAATTCAAGAGGGTGCCTTTCTCACCCTTCAAAGAAGTTGCAGATTTTAAGAGTCTCTTCCTGGCTATGATCAACCTCTCACCTTACTGACAGAGTTTCAATTTAACCAAACGCTATTGAAACAAATGACTGCTACACCATACTGTTTCTCATTCTTTACCAAGGAGTTAAGTTTCACTTAGCAGAACATTCATCAATGAGTAAGAAAATATACACAAATACAAATAAAAATGGAAAAGCCAACACGTTACAATTTTTTGCCTTATGTAAGCTAAATTTTCTTCCATTGGAAACAGAACTACTTGTGCAGGTGGTTGCTAAATGCTACCAGCTGCTCTGTGGCAATATAGTTTCTGAACAGAACCCTAAAAAGTAGGATGGAGAGGGGAAAAATAAAGAAATGGGTGTGGAATAAGACTCTATATTAAACTAATTCCCTGGGTAATACAGGAGAGGGGGAGAGCAAGTTCTGTCGTAAACAGTAAGCAGAATTTCCATTCAGCTGGCCTACAATAAATTTATTTTTCCAAGAAAATGAAATGGAACAAGAGACCAGACATACCTGCTTTATGTTAAAGAAAAGCATGTATGAACCTAATACAGGAAGAAGTTGTTTAAGACTGTACATCCTTGAGAAAATATTACCTCCATAATAGTGCCAGGGTCTCTGTTAACTTGGGTTATCAGCTACATAAATTAGACGCACACTGGGGCTGTCTAACTTGTATAGCAATCTGCAGTGCTCATATAATTTGTACTTTGCTCTATCATTTGCTTCCCTCTGTCCTCTTTTCTAGTTACCAACTTATTTTTTAAAGCTTTGCACAAATACCATTATAGCTATCTTATTTATTGTACCAATTAAAAAATTGCTGAGAAATGAAGGGATCTACTTAGATTCCCGTAATAAAATGAGTGATCCGAATAAAAAAAATTGAAAATCACATAATCACTATTTTAAGGAATGCAATTCTCTCTCAATACCTGACAACCTTTTTTCCTTTGAGCAAGTTCTTGACAATGCCAAGACTCTAACTATTAATATACTTAATGTCAGCATATCTCCTACCCTGATTCAAAAAGCAAGAAACAGGATGAAATGGGGGAATACAGGAGATTAAAATAAAAGAAGAAAAAGGTAAAGGAGAAGAGGAAATAAACAGAAGAAATATTGAGAGAAACAGAGAGATAAATAGCAAATTGTGGTCTTCGAATGAGAAGATGGAGAGGACCAGAAGAAAAAAATAGAGAATTAAGGAAGAAAACAAGGTCAATTTGACCTTTTGTGTAGCTTTTTATTTATCTGAGTAATCCGAGGGGTAATTACAGGTCTTTGTCTTAATATGGAAAAATAACTATGATGTATGACCAAGACACAGTACTCCGGGAGTATTTCCGTATAGCCTACAGAGGAGCTATTGGTGCCTACCTTTATGGACATCGGGTTGTGATCATATTTTTTGCTAGGTCTGCTGCTGCCATGACTCTGCCATTGTGCTCATTGTGAACTCAGTGTCTTACATGAAAAGAGCCACCCAATCTCATTTTACCAACTCTGCATACTAATTCACAATAGCATATAATATCCCCACATATGGGTTTTTAGGTCATCAATGAAGCTGAATGAAACCATTCTCTTGCTAAGTACAGAATTTAGAAACCAAGCTGCTGCAAGTTGAAACATCAGTCACAGTCTCTCAAAACATTATGTTACAAAGGCTGTGATGAAGTTGCAGCTCTGCCCATATTTCCAAAAGTAATGACACTTCATCTTAAAGGCCCACTCAGTTATGTCACATTTATATTTGCATCCTATAATGTGAATGTATTAGCCCCAAATTGTTTGGTAATAAATCATCATCAAAGAAATATGTTCATTTTTACTTTTAGTATTCATGACTCGCATGATCCTAGAACAACATATATTTAGTACTTCAGAGCAATGAATCCATAACTTTGAGAGAAATTGCCTTATAGATCATTAAGACCTATGTTGCTTTAACAGTTAATCACATTTTCACTAATAATATGACATAAGTCCTTTACCTAAAGAGTGAAAAATGAATGACTCTTTTGCTTGCACTAAAAAGTCTTCTACTTGACCTTTACTAGGGGCAGAGGGAAATCCAGTATAATCACTGAACGCTTTCCCTACAGCAGTATCAATACTTTCATTCAGCCAACAGACTTCACCTTCAGTTAAGGCTCCTTGAGTCCCCAAACTCCAGGGGAAAAAAATCCTTTGGGGCTCTGCTGTAGCTTTGAACCTAGGGTCATGTGGTGATGTATCAATGAGCCCTGCATCTTCTGGAGAATACCTCAGATAGCTGGCCCAACAAAGACAAATATTATGGCAGCAAAAAATAAATCTGCCATTTTTAACCTTTTCAGGGAAAGTAATTCACTTATTGGCTTTGGTTAAAACGTCTTACCTTTCTTCCCCTTTTTGTTGTATCTGTGAGTAATTTCTCCAGTCACATTGTTTATAGGAAGTGAAGTTATTCGTAATCATGCCTTAAGAGTATGTACACAAACTGGACATCCTAAAAGACCGCTATGTATTAAATTCCTGATTGTTTGACATAAATTCTCTCTCTCTCTTTCACTCCGACAGGAATCTTCTCATTTATTTACGAATAGGTTAAGACCTTCGCCTTGTTTCTAACTATGTTCCTAAGTGCTAACATATATTAAGTAAATTTAGAGCCTCTTCTGCATAGGAAACAAATTAAATTGGTTAAACATGGAGAAAGACTAAATGTAATCCATCTCTTGTCATGTTTATGATATCTGAACTCATCTTATGTGAATGTTCCAATTTGGCAGTTGTAGCAGATGGGCTGCTTATGATAAAACATAACTACAGACGCAGAATGTGATAATATAAATCATAAAAGAGATAAATAATGAAATTCTTTTAAAATAACTCTGGCTAAATATTTAGACAGTCAATTTTTAAGCTTACTTGCAACACAAAAATAGTATTCACATATCTAGGCAAGGAAAGAAAGGTACTCAACCATAATATAAATATAATCTAAATCTAAACTTTCAGGACTCAAGGTATTTTAAAAATCTGGGTGAATTTTTAAGGTAGCAAAAAATAAAGTCGGGAGTCTTTTCCAGAGGTACTCAAAACCAGAGATGGCACTGATGAATATCTCTACACAGCTACCCCTCATTCCAAATCCCATTTCATAACTCCAGAATTAAGCAAAGTCTCCTATTTTATGATCTATATCAGATGATAAAGGAAACTCAGTGCCACTCTTGATGGACAACTTAATATCCATGAACCTGCTATCAATGTATATCAGTTTGTGACCTCATACTGCTTAGAGTTGCAAAATATATTTACATGAATCTGATCATCTCAAAAACCTCATCACAGGCCAACTGGTATCCAGATCATATAGAAGAGGAAAGTAAAGTTCAGAGAAGTGGCTTGTCCAAAGTCACACATTTATACATGATAAATCCAAAATTTGAACAGACATTTTTGTCTCCCAAACAGGTGCTAATTATTAATATCTTAATCATGGTGTCTCATCCAACTTACAAACAAAGGTAAAGATTTTAACTCAGAGAAGTTTGGAATAGATTGTACAATGCATAAAAGCAGCCCAGGTCCCCAGTCCACAGTTTGAAGATGGCCAGAAACAAAGAGATAAGGGGACAAAATCAGTACAAATGACTACTCAGGCAGTTTGGGCCAATTATGTTGTATATCAATGTGTATCTACCCTTACTAGGTGGCCACATCTACTCTTACACTTTCAATATGTACAGAGTAGGCAATTTTACCCATAGAAAGGCTGGCATTTGGTGCACTGTTTCAGATACCAGGAGCAGGACCAATTCCCATCTGGGATGCTGACTCCTTACCATCCCTACTGCAGATTCCTGGAAGGTAGCTGTGCTTTATCTGAAAATGAACTTGAGAGAGCTCTTAAGATACTTTTCTATTAGAAAACAGCATTGCCCCTCTCTCCACTTGTCCCCCTCCTGTCTTTCCTTCCCTGTTATTTATTGAGCTCCTACTGCATGTCAGGCTGTGCATCCATAAAGAAAGCAGCCATAGGCCAAAGCTCCATGGCACTTATCATCTGCTGGTGGGTGCAGAAATATAAACAAGCACATTCAGGACTATAGGAGTAAAGAAGAGCACCTGCCTGGACCAGGGATGGGGGTGAAGGAAGAGGACCAAGAGGGTATATATAAAACTTCCCAGATGAAGGCAGGTCTACGTTGAGACCTAAAGGAAAAGGGAGAATAGATCAGATAAGATGGAGGAGGACAATAAAGGCTGAAGGTAAGATGGATAAAATATGTTTGAGTGGATTTTGTTCTGTTGTTTTTGGTAGAGGGAGGAGAATGTAAGGAAAGAGTGAAGGTAGGGAGAAAGAAGTGGAAGAAAGAAAGAACGAAGGAAGGAGGGAAGGAAAGAAGGAGGAAATGAAGGAGAGAAAGAAGAAAGACAGGAAAAAACAGAGAGAAAGAAGAAGGAAAGAAAAAGAGATAGAAAAGAAAGAAAGAAAGAAAAAAAGAAAGAAAGAAAGAAAGAGAAAGAAAGAAAGAAAGAAAGAAAGAAAGAAAGAAAGAAAGAAAGAAAGAAAGGGAGGGAAGGATAAATCTCTTTGCTGTGTAATAAACAGAGGAGAAACATAGGTAAAAACACTAAAATCTGATTTGGTGGAATTTTGTACACTGCAGATATATGTCAGATTGTGAAGAAAAAGTGGAAAAAAAGAAGCATGTGTATCGGAGATACTGAACAGAGAATAGAGTGGGTGGAGTAAGCCTGTAAGTACCATTTCAATGGCATTAGCCGGTTTGTGTCTCTGCTGATTCTACCTGGTCTTAGAATGGAAAAGCTTGATTTACTGGACTGTTAAGGAACCTAAAAATGAAAAATACTATGCATAGGTTTGAGGATCACAGCCAACAGTTTATTATAAGTCTGGAATGAAGTCTCAACTTCTTCACTAAGAACTCATATTCTAACTTTTGTTTATTTGCTTTCTTATTTATTTCTGTTGAAGATTTTTTCTAAAAATACTGAATTGGAATAACAGAGCCCATATCTTTTAGGTATAACCTTGTAAAACACGTTTAGCAATTCAAGGCAGTGATACACAATATATCAAATGTAACATCATTCAGACATAACCACTAATATCTTCAATGAAATATATATTTAAGTTTTCCTCTCTGAGCAAGTTTTCTTAGCATTTCCTAAAACCTCAAATTTTTTTATTTAATTTTAATGTATTTTATCTACCATGTGGACAAAATTATGGCAAATGTGCTATGTTCTATTATCCTATGATTAGCCTAGTAGAAAGTATTACTGAAGAATATGGACATTATGCATGGACACTTCTTTTTGTTTTTAAATTGCCAACTGCCAAACCAGCATTTGCCATATTCCTTCCAATCACATAAGATTAATCAAGAGAGTTTAATTAAACAAGTCCAACTCACCAAAATTAATGATGTTCACTGAATGACCAGATTTTCATTCCAATTGGAAGTACTTTCATACTTTTACAGACAGTGTGACTATCCACTTTGCAATTGCAGTGCGACCTGTGAAACTTGCATAAAGACCTCCCCTGAATTATTGTTACCTACATAGTTACAGTAACTTGGAAGGTGATGTCATGCATTCACACAAAACATAGAAGTGATATCTTGTTGTTTATTTTTATCATTGGAGCTTGTTGGATGTTTGGGCTCAAGAATATGCAAACAGGGTTAATTAATGGCTCAATAGCAACCTAGAAATTATCCTATTCCATTCAGACATTTTATCAGTGACTTGGATGATGGGGGCAGGGGTAATATCGAAATGACACATGCCTAAGGGAGGGAGCAGACATGGGGTAAAAGTAGAAAGTCTGTAAAATAACAGAAGCTAGATATTAAATTATCTTACCAGGTCAGAGCTATGTGTCTGAATTAATTTTTAAAATTTAATAGACATGAAAATCCTGCACTTAGGTTTAAGAAATCAATTGTCTAAATACTGAATGGACAAAGACTTGACTTAATCATAGTTGACAGACTTTCAAATTCTATAGCAGACTGTGATATAATTACCCACAAAGCTTCTAACATCCAAGAGTATCCATAGAAATATAGTGTTCATAAGAAGGAAAAAAATAGTTCTCAACTCTGCATTTGTTGAACATCACTGGAATTCGGAGTGAGCTAATATCAGAAGACATTGTCAAATGGGCCAATGGCTGTCTTTCAGTCATTCCTTTCTGATCTTTGGATTTTTTTTTCTCTAAAGTTAAAATAAATAAATTTTCCTATCCCAAAATATCTTACAGAATAAGGAATTATTAGCCTAAAGACGTTTTAGAACTGCACAGGGGTCTTCAATGGTATTACACAAAAAATATCTAAAAAGGAAAAGCAGATGAGAATAAGGCCTTTCAATATTTTCATGGAAAAACATTTAAAGAAAAAATATTAAATAAAAAATATTTAATTCTCAAGGATGACATGGCTAAAAAGCTAAAGCTCATTTTGAATTTTTGGAATGTTAATCACCTATTTCAAAAGTTTTGATTTTAGAAATTAAAAGTCATTGTTACAATTTAAGTTATAGCTATATAAAACTATGGTTAGTGTTAGTTTAAGGGTTATAGTTAAGTGTTACATGTTTAAGACTAAAGAGAAATGAATACTAATTGAAATTAACCTAATCCATTGGCAATTCTTTTATTAAATAATGTTCCTTTTTATGTCTCATGTTGCACTCTGAAAATAAATAACAAAGATAACAAACTTTTCCTCCAAATACTAATACTGTAATGACAAATGATTACAAAATCTTTAAGTAAAATTTAATGAAAATTTTATTGAATAATGACTCATATATGCTTTTCAAAGATAGTGAGAATGTAGCTTATAAAATCAGTTACTGTACCTTTCAAGATGAATAAGCATGATTTGGGGAACAAGTGCAATTTTCTGATAAAGGACCAACAAGGTACCTTCTCTGCTATATAAAAAAATCTTAAAAAATGCTTGTTTGTCACTGCATGTTCTCACTCATAGGTGGGAATTGAACAATGAAAACACATGGACACAGGAAGGGGAACATCACACACCGGGGCCCGTTGTGGGGTGGGGGGAGTAGGGAAGGATAGCATTAGGAGATATACCTAATGTTAAATGATGGGTTAATGGGTGCAGCACACCAACATGGCACATGTATACATATGTAACAAACCTGCACGTTGTGCACATGTACCCTAAAACCTAAAGTATAATAAAAAATAAAATAAAATGCAATTTAAAGGTTAAAAAAAAGCTTGTTTGTAAACATCTTAATAAATAACAGCAACAACAATAACAATCATATAGGCATGCATGACTATATTTTTTCCTCCTGAACAACATATCTCAGGAATTGTTGGGCTTACACATCTGGAAAGCCATATTTGTTTGTGTATTTTCCATGCTGACACTGCCAAGAAACTAAATGCAGTTGAGTGTTACCGCTGAAATCACCAGGAGTCCTAGTGCCAGGCTGTGCCAGAATTTGCCACTCCAAGTTGCAGTCAGTCTTTCAACCTCAGAATTAAATAGAGCATCCGCCAAAGTAGTATCAGACTGAAGCTGCTTAAGTGGCTTTGACCATTAAAAACATACATAATTACACTTACATTCTGCGTGCAAATATTGTGCTATCATTTGAGAGTGCAAATAAGCAGTCAGCCACAACCCAGAAAGACAGTAGTCTACAAGAGAGATGAAGGACTATGGTAGAGACGGGACTGTGGATCTGTGTCCCATCTCAGCCACATACAGCTATATCATTCTAGCAAGTTATAGAACATCTTTCAACCTCAGTTTCCACATCTACATAATAAGAACAGTCATACCTGCTCTATTTGCATGAACTTTTTGTGATCATCAAATAATACAAATGAAATCACTTGCAAGAACCTTGTAAAACAAATATACCTATTTTAGCTAATCCCGGATCACACCTCTGCATTGTCAATGTTCCATTATAATTAAACAAGATCCTGAATACCCCAGGTGAAATGAGCCTGCTGTCCAGGTGGATCAATGCTTGGTCTAACCAGAGCTGATGCCCAACAGGGCCTTTCCTTGCAGGGCCAGTGACCGTCATATTGAGAATGCAAGTCTGAAGACTGCAGTTTGTAGAATGTGACTAAAGCAAAAACCTGCCGCATAAACTGTGTTTGTTCTTTAGACAATTTTTAGAATTAACTGACTCTATAGTAGCTTAAGAAACAGCATACAATTTTATAACGGAAAAAGGTGATAATTTTGACTAGGCTCACAATCATTTCTTGTTAGGTTGTGAGATAACTTTTATTAACGCCAGTTAATTCCTTCCTCAGGCCTGTGTCACTTTATAACCCTCTGCTTAAGAGAAATTAATTGTATGAATTCAGGTAAGACAAGAACTACCATAATAGATGTTTTCACTCTTGCCTTTACTTTTCTCTGATATACCTTAAGGTGGTCAGAGGTAAAAGCTAAAGATGCATTGTAGCCTGAGGGATGATTGAATGAAAAAAATGGGGGATGGGAACAGAACCTACTGGGATAGACCAATTTCCCACCACTGTAAGCCAGAGCAATTGATTGATGAATCCTCGCTCTGTCAAGAGGCAGCCTTCAGATTTGATCACATAAATACTCATTCAACTCAAATTCTGCTTGACAAGCCTCAGACAGCTTTGTTCTGTCACAGATATCATTGGAAGGAAATGCTCCATTAATCATCCTTAATTAACTTTACCATAGTCTGCTGAAACCAATATGCTCTCTGGCTAAACTTTGGACTTAGCCAGGATTCTATAGTTATCAAATGGAAGAGAGCTTTTTATGTTTCTTCTCTCCTATCGTTATGAACTATAGGGATCCAGCATGAATAGAGTTCACAGGAAGTCATGCCCATTGATTATATGAGATAGCTTATCAGCGTGTGCATTCTTTTCTAAAGGAAACATAATTTTAAATATGGCTGACCTGCATGAGATGGCATTTTATATCTATATCTCACTTGATGCTCAGACATTCTATATTTCCTCCCCAATTCTCAGCTATCATATGTCCTGAGATAATCATTTTCTAAGAGGAAAGAAAAATTTTAAAACAACAACAATAGTAAAGACTTAGTTTGAAAAGTAAAGTTGCTAGAGGCACAAAATGGTTTGTGATTAATTCATAAACACACACACATACACGTCTCACATTGTAAAATACTTCACAATTTTCATAAAGCTTTAACATGAGGCATGTGTTTTATTTTCATATTTGCTTAGTGCACATATTAACTACTTGTCTCACTTTGAAATTACCTACTGAGAAGTTTATTAACAAGCATCCTAATTCAGTGGTAATAAGGGCAAAACAAGAAAAAATGAGTAGCATTCACACTTTAAATAAAAATAGAGTTCTAAATGGCTATTATTAAAAGTCAAAACATAAAAGATGCTGGCAAGGTTGCAGAGAAAAAAGAATGCTTATACACTGCTGGTGTGAATCCAAATTAGTTCAGCCATTGGGAAAGCAGTGTGGCAATTTCTCAAAGAACTTGAAACAGAACTACCATTTGACCCAGCAATCCCATTATTGGGTATATACCCAAAGGAATATAAATTGTTCTACCATAAAGACCCATGCACTTGTATTTTAATTGCAGCACTATTCACATTAGCAAAATCATGGAGTCAACCTAAATGCTCATCAACAGTGGACTAGATAAAGAAATTGTGGTATAGATACACCATGGAATACTATGCAGCCATGAAAAAAGAATGAGATAATGTCTTCTGCAGCAACATGGATAGAGCTAGAGGGCATTATCCTAAGAGAACTAATGCAGGAACAGAAAACCAAATACTGCATGTTTTCACTTACAAGTGGGAGCTAAACATCAAGAACTCATTGACACAAAGAAGCGAACTATAGACACCAGGACGCACTTTAGGGTGGAGAGTGGAGGAGGATGATGTTTGAAAAACTACCTATTGAGTACTGTGCTCGTTACCTGGGTGACAAAATAATCTGTACACCAAACCCCCATGACACACAATTTACCTGTATAACAAACCTGCACAAGTACTCCTGAACCTAAAAATTAAAAATAAATAAATAAATAAATAAATAAAATAAAATAAAATAAAATAAAACAAGTGCAGTGTGTGCGGACTATGATAAATGAATAAAGTCTCCAGTATATCCCAGTCTACTTTGGTTGGTGTCTGCTCATCCATATACTCAGAGGCTTCATGACTGATTTCTAGCAGCTTCTGATCTTAGCCATATTTATGTGTTATGTGTTTACAAGGCAATTCATATGATAATGTTAGTGACTACTTCAAATGCTATGCTTTTAAAGCCAGAAGATCCATTTTAGAGTCACAAGAAACTTAAATTTACATCATAGAATTCTCTCTGTATATTAAAAAGTGCTCCTGTGAATGATCTACAGAAAGGGAAATGGACTCAAAATGATAAGGATGTGCACCCTCATTTTGTGTGTGCAAACTGAGGTTTGTGAAGTGATGAACTCAATAAAGAATAAGGGTTAAAGATTTCTGAAAATGACTGATCTCTTTATAAAATTACTGGTTTGGCTCTGCTATAGCAGACTTTGCCTTCTCCCCTCAGAAAGAGGTAGCAACTGACAGGCGTTTGATTTATCATTGATCTTTCAATGATATTTCTTATGGGCTATAGTTTTCTAATTGGAGGCAGAGGTAAAGTCTGTGGTAAAGAACATCTCCGTGTGGTTGGCAGACTTGCTAAAAACAAATACCAAATCATGTTCCTTTTGTGCAAAATGATACAAAGAACACATTTTCATGAAACTTCTAAAACATAGAATCTATTTGCCAACATTGGAGTTTTAAAAATATGTGAATGCTAAAAACCAAAACTTGATTTTTAAAATATGTAAACTACTTATGATTCTTCTGACAATAAAAGATGATGTTGAGTTAGTGACCAGTTCATAACAACAGATAGATACCCTGTTTATTAAAATGGTTCAATGTCTTATATTTACTTACTATGAAATAAGGTTTTATTTTTGAAGAAAAACTCATGTCTTAAATCAAATCTTTATATCAAACTTTCACTTCACATTGCTCTCCCCTTCCCTAGGGAAAAGAAAAAGTCAGGAATAAAAACAGGTGGAGGAAATCTTCCTTGTTAAAGTACATTTCTATTTTAATTTCTGATTATTATTACTGTAAATTATTCTGTGCTCTCTTTTTGTTTAACTACTTCCTTCCCTTGCTTTGGTGCCCATTACTTCTTCCATGGTTTAGGCATGAAGTTCTGATGGCAAAGTCATTATTTACCTTCCCCTCATTCCATTCCAAGCATCTCTTCTTTTATTTAATTTCTTCTCTTGCCACAGATTCTTTTTCCTTCGCATACCTTACCCACTGTTCATTTCTTTTTTGCTGATTCAAGTTGAAATTTACTTCCTGACCACTCTTCCCCATAAAATTTTTAGTTCAAGTATCTATTTGCCAATTACTGTACTAGGCAGTGGGGACAGAATACCACACATAACAGGCCGGTGCAGTGGAGGAGGTAGACATTAAACAGTGAATCCCAATACAATATGATAAAAGATCAAGCAGCATTTTAGTGTGCTACGGTAACAAATAATTGGGACATAATTTAATTTGGGAAGAGCAGTCAGGAAAATCCTTCCTGTGGAAAAAAAAATTAAATAGGGACCCAAGAGACAGAATAAGAGTTTTTTAGATGAAGAAGATGGAATAAGTGTGGTCTATATAACAGTCCACATGGAGTTATTCATTTGTTTACTGAACATTTATTGACAGCCACTCATGTGTCCCCAATGTCACCTCTACTGGCCATTTATTTGTCAATTTAAAACTGATATTTCAGAACATGTGGAGCATACTTATTAAACCCCAAAGAATATATTTGAAGTAGAAATTAATTTTGGAAGCAATGAAGAGCAAAATAAAGACTTATCCTACATTAAGTAGGAGACTGTTTATTTAGAACCTGCTTTGAGGTTACTTCTGCTCTTTCTCTTCCGTCAGCACCCCAGCAGAGCTGAGTAGATTTCCTGATGATAGAGGCCCTCTTTGTTCACAGTGAAGTGGAGATTGGCAGAAAAGGAAAAATCGTGGGGAAAAATGGTGGAGAAAAATGGAAGAGGAAACATGTTAACTTCTTTTCTTTTGTTTTCTTTCTTTTCTTTTCTGGAAACAAGTTCTCACCCTGTCGCCCAGGCTGGAGTGCCATGATGCAATCATGGCTCATTACAGTCTCAAACTCCTGGCCTCAAGTGATCCTCCTGCCTAAGCCTCTTGAAGTGCTGGGATTACAGGTGTGAGGCACAAAACCTGGCTTCATTTTTCTTTCTGGTTTCAAAGCATTATAATGCAATTTAGGCATACCTCCCTAAAAAACTGTGAGTTACGTTACACATGCACAACACCATAACTACACCCATTTCTGGGTCTTATTGAAATCTGAAAGGAGAATGATCAATAAAATTCTTATAACAATCCCAAGAAGATCTTGCCAAATTGTACCAAAGGGATTAGATAAGTTGAGACCATAGTTTCATCCTAGCGTTACTCTGTCATTTCATGAAACATACACTGTATATTTACATGTTTTCAAAGGTTAGCTGTGAGCCATGGAAACTGTATACTTTAAATATCTGAGTATATCTGTATATCTAAATATCTGAGTGAAAATTGGTGGAAAGCCATCCATTTAAGAAGCATACAACTCTGCTTATGTTTTTAAAGATATTTAATATCAAGATATAGTAAAACGTTGTGTTCTGTTTTAGGCAATGCAAAGAGTTAAGTAGATTTACATGAATGGAGTGGGAGCTGGGGGAGGACAATGAATGTCCTTCCTCATTTCAAAGGTCAAAGACAGCATTAATTATTTTTAACTAATGTCGTATTTAACCACATGCAAACTTAAATCAGTTTGGGTCTAACCAATTCAAAGCTATTCTTTGGTTCCCTGCTCTGCTGCAATAATTGACTAGGTTCGACTTTACAAAGGTCAAAAGAATGGACTTGGTTCATATTCTTTCAGCTAATAGCACAGTTCTTAAATCAAAATTTGAGAATTGATCTTTCAAAGTCACTTTTCGTCTCTACATTCATGTGTAATTTCAAATTATATGATAGATGTATCCAAACTCACTTTTTATTTAATTATTTTTTAATAACAGAAGACACAGTGGGAGGTTTTTTAACAAGATCTAGGTTTGTCTAAAAAAAATTCAAAAGGGAATTAAGAAAACCATGGGAAACTTGTCATTTAGCAGAGTTCTAATGAGTAAAGTGGATGTGGGCAATCTGAAGGAAAAAATTTAGGCAGACATAATGCCGAGCAACAGAAAATGAAAGCGATCTTAGTTTGGAGTCTAGGCAAAATGTAGAGCAAAGTCAAGTCAGATATTTGGGCAATTAGGTCTTAGAGGACTCTAAACATTATACTAAAGATTAAAACTATTGCTTTAGAGTAAGGTCTTCCCCAGACAGCTTACACTATCTGCCCGGGACTGAGCTTCTCTGCCCAGGCCTAGAGACCATGGCTTCATTCTAGCATTGTTCTGTCCTCCCTCTACAGGCAAGACCTCCCTACTCTGATGTGCCAGGCTTGTTGCTGACCATCATTCAAATTGTATATGTGATAACTCTTCATCCCCAAAGACTTTCCTGACTAATCAGTGGTCAAATGGTGATTACTTCTTAAGACTCCCCTATCTAACCTTATAACTCCCACAAGCTATCTTACTCTCATCACTCTGCAATATACATTTACCCTTGCCCTGTAGATAGTGAGGTCTTTATTGAATATGTACATCTGCTCAATGTTTATTCAGTTGCATGTACGTCTTTCAAGTGTGTCCTATGAGAATTTTATTTCTTGCACCTTAAATGACAGAGAACATGTTTACTTAATGCACTTTGCATTATGCCTAACACATCACCAATTGTTGACAATATTCAATAAGTACATTTGATTGTGGCATATTCAACTATGATTTTAGACAAGATGTGTGTGTGTGTGTGTGTGTGTGTGTAGACAAAATAAAATTCAGAAAGAGAAAATCTATTCTACAATGAAATTCAATCTCTTACTTAGCTATTTTGAAATTGTGTCCCAATACCACATTAACAGAGCCAAAATGAAATTTAAAATTATGGTTATACTATTATTCACACTAGGTAGGGTCAGGTTTTTTTGTCTGAATTAAATGGCTCCTTTACGCTAGCTACTTAGGAACCACTTCCCATACCCTCAAGCTAGAGTAATAGATACCTGACCCATTTTAAAAAGGAAGAGGGTTCCAATCAAGGTCTCTATGAAGTTTAGAAATGGGTTCAAAGCCTAGTTGTACATTTCCATAGTAAATATATTTTTGGTGGATTTTTCACCAATCATTCAATATATAAATCATGTTGGCTATATTTAGCCCTGGATAAAGTCCACTTTTTCCTGAGTCATAATGCCAACTTGGCTAAACGATCGTACATTTCCAATCATGCTTAAATAAACATAAAATTTATGTATGGATGAGAAGGACATTTCATAGATAATTTTTCTGGCTTCAGTATCAAGCACATTCATATTTTTCTCCTAAATCTGAAACCAAATGTTTGCTTTCCTAATATTTTTCCTTCCTACTGGATTTTTCTTTCCTTCTTCTATGTGGTCACCCACAGCCTGGCCTTTGTGTATTCTCCCAAGAAAGAATTGTTTATTTATATTAGCAGTCCTTTCAGGGGTTCCCTGTAGACTCTGTTTCCAATGGTATGTGGAGTTACTAAGCTTTTATTGTTGACAAGTGGTAGGTGGGATCCAAGCTTTTGTGGTTAAATTGTTTATTGATAATTACCTGTTAATTACCCTGCTGCCTGACTCCTGTAATTTACTATAATCATTACTTTCCTTTTTCTTGAAAACCATGTGCTCAAAAAACAAAAAGTGAAGACAAAAAATATACTTCTTACCACCTTTTTAAAAAATGGTTGGTTTTTTAATTAAAACCATTTAGAGTCAGAGTATTTTTCATCGTATAACATTTGGATTTGGAAAAGCAAACCAGTGTTATTAATGTAATTATAACTATGCCAAGTAATTGATTTAAACTGGTGAATATAACTTTGGGTGGCAATCACCAAATTAGGTGTCACACAGTATTCTTGAGTCATTAGTATTTTACTTTATTGCAGAATGTTTTCCTTCCTAGAGTTGGCCAGAAATTCTGTACAAAATCAAAGCCTTGAAACAAAATAGACTAAATTCTGTATTATTTGTTAAGGTTTGAAGCTTTTTACATTAAGATTCCAGCATCTAAAATTTTAATCCAATGTAGTGACATAATACTCTGTATCCCTGAGATAATGTACAGAGAGGCCTTTACATTTTTAATATAGTTATTATTTCTATGGTACAGTTCCACCTAACCAGACACGGTGTAAGAGTACATCAATGTCCAGGGAGTGTACAACTGGCTGCTTCAGTTTCCACACTTCTCAAGAAATTTCACCCAACTCTTGCTCCCAAAAGTTCTTTCAGTACTAAAAGCATCTGGTAAAATACCTTGCCATTAGCAAAAAAAAAAAAAAAAAAAAAAGAGTTAACAATTAAGTCCAACTTTCTGGGAATCAAAATCAGCTCCACCAGGCAAGCAGATGGATTTATTAGGTGTATATTCTTGAAATGTAATATACAAGGGACTGCAAAGAATGATCAAATAAAGTTCTAAAATAGCAAACCAAAAAAGCCCTGGAATCAACATAGCCATCATCCTGCCATTTCTCACCAACTTCCTCTCATTTCTCACCTTTGGACTATTTTAGCAGTCATTTTCATGGTATATTGAGGATAAGCATGGTCAAGGTGAGCCTATGAACTTCGTTGGCGCCATTGATTAAAACTACAGTTTAGAACTGTCCGTGGTTTACACTGCCCACTTCACCTCGACAGGAAGCAACATGGAGATGAATAGCAAGAATCCTTGATGTGCATTTTGCCAATTGATCAACACACATCTCCTGTGGGACTCCCTCGGCTAAATGCAGCCCTTTTGAAAACATGTCATTTTAATACCACAGTGGAAAGAACGTGGTATTTATGTTTAAATAGCTGGATTGGAGTCTAAGTTTGACACTTACTAGATGAGTAAACATGGACATATCACTTAACCTCTCTGAACTTACTTTCACCATTTAAAAAATAGGGATAAAAATAATAATATTGATCCAATTAATTTACTAAAGTTCTTATAATAATGTCAATGAGGTAACAATATAATAATGCACATGAATACACTTTATAAACTAAAATGCACTGTATGATTATAATAATCATTAATCAGGAAAATAATTAACACTCCTTTAAATAACCATTAAAAGAAATTTGCCAGACATAGAGAATAAATAGGACAAGCCTATTTAAATATCTAAGTAAGAGTGTCAATGCACACACATTATAGCATTTCAAGAAATATTTTTCTTAGGGAGAGATTAAAGTCAGGAGAGGAAATGGAACGGCTTCAGTTGCTGTCATTGCATTCTTAGTATTTTACTTGGGAGAATGAGCCTTGTCAAATGGAAAGACTGAAATGAATACATTTCTCAGCTGCTTAGCAGATATGTTTCCCAATATAAGCTAAACAGTTCAACCAACCTCATTTCCATGTGAATATCTGCACTTCTGAATAGATGATAGGAATGTGAAGAAGAATGGGTTGATCTTGGCCTTGGAATTATATGGCTTAGGTGTAAATTTATTCTTAATTTTCAATCATTATGTTTTAACATTCCTAGCTGAAATTTGGTTGAGCTATCAAATTGTTCAAAGGCCAGTTCATGCCACAGCCCAAGGAACCGCTACTGGGAGAAGGTGGAAACCCTAAACCACAACCAAGTCCATCCATAGGGTTTTCCCCATGAAGGTTACCACAACATACTTAACATTGTTACAGACAAATTGCTGCCATTACCAAGCCAAACAATTCTGTCTTTATGTTTTTAAATAGCTTTGGTAACTCTTTAGAAACTTTACAGCTGGAAAGGAACTGCATCTTGATGGAGCTACGTTTATAGAATTTTGTTCTATGCCCCTTTTTCATTTGTTTCCTGATTTAGACAATAGCCCCAATTTCCAGCTGCACATCAGTTACTCACAAGCCTGGTCTGAGTCTGTGATTCAGCCAAGCTCTGCACAATTGTCCCACAGCTCCCAATAGTTTATCATCATTGTTTTGTATAATTGGAAACAGAATTATTTATATGCCCCTGCCTACTCTGCAAGCAAATTTACAAGGGAACTGTGTCTCTTAATCTATAGTAGACCTAATGTAAACAGTAATGCAAAAGAGTATTCAGATTTATTGTAGGACTTCCTTAAAGATCAATATTTAAAATGAATACATATTGTGCTAATTTAAACATGCAACATATCACAGAGCTATTTACACAAGAAATTTACAATGGCCTAAGACATTTTTATACTCTATTCCTACTTCCTAGGAATATCTTTTATCAAATGGAAAGAAAAAAAGAGTTACAAGTTCAATGTTAATTCGCCTTATTTATAAACACTCATCTAAATCTGTAACCTCAACAGACAATATATTAAGCTACCAAATGAGGAATTAAAGTTACATTGAGTGTGACCCAAATAGGAAAATAAAGCTGACCGCATCCTCTGCAGTACAAGATGTACAGTTCAGTGTAGACAACAGTGTGGGACTCTGCAAAACCAAGGCTCAACTTGCTGATCTTAAAGCAGTTATTTCAGTTTTCCTCTGCCGTCCCTGGATGCTATGGGTTTAAATCACTCCCTGTCTTTGTTTAGACCTCATCTTGGAGGCTTAAAATAGTATCTCGTTGACAAGAATCTGAGGTCTTTCAGACCTAATATCACATCAAGCTGCTAGGCTAAGACCTTACATGCCAAGTCTCAGCCTACAATGAATTTTTATAAGTGAGTTATAAACCCCTCAAAAACAGGGTTTATAATGGAAACGCTGACAGACTCTTAACTATCGAGTTTCTAGTGGGTTCCTGTTTAATATACTGTATTTCTTCCCCTTGAAGATATTAATTTACTTTTTGAAATGTTCATTGCTAAGATTAAGCATAGGTTTTTGAAATGTGTTCATAGGCAATTTATGCATGAGTAGAAATGTACTCTTCTCCAGATGTACAGAATACTAATTTGAAAATGATTTATAGGCCACACCGTACTGTACATTCCATTCCCTTCTGAAAAGTTAAGACAAGGCTTTCCTTTGACATAACACCGGGATCCCCTATATATTGTAAATACAGTGTACTAGCCAGAGTTATTTAAATTCTTGAGACGTCAACTCTAGGATGGGTCAGAATAGAAAGAGTAAGCTGCCAGGACCAAGGGTATCAGCGGTAATTAAAAAATGGGAGGATTCAGGAAGAGGAAGATTGACATAAACACACATTCAAATAGAAGCTTCTCATCTTAAGGGAGTATTTTCATGTTTTGGCCAAATTAGATCGCTTAGAATTTTAGAGTGTTAGAATTGAATGAATTTTAGAAATCATTTAACTCAGATATTGCAAACTGGTGTCCTGGGGGCCAAATTAAGCCCCACAATATAAATAATAATCACATGAACAAAAAGTTGGGATTAGATGCTAATAATAATTGAAAATGTTCACCCCAAAAAGGAAATTTCTACTTCTCTTTAAAAATGGAAAGACTTGGTAACACTTAACTTGCATCTTCCCTTAGAAACAACTTGCTGGGGCTGAGTAGCGCAGCCCCCTTTAGAACAGAAGTGAGTCCCCTGCTTGCCAATGTCCACTCTTCCTGTTTCACACTTTCATGTCACCATCCTGGTTCCTGATGTAGTCATGTTTGTGAATCTCATCCAGAGAATATCTTGTCCAGGAATCCAAGCCTGTCTGTGGCAGGACTGGGATGAAAGTAAGGTCAAATCTTACACATTTTCCTCACTGCACTATCAGCACATTATACTCTCTTTGGCTAATTCCTTTTTGCAGGAAAAATGATCCTAGTGAAAAATAAGTTGAAAGATCTAATAATCACAGTCATTGGCAATTATGACTTCAGTGACTCTTCTGAGATCTAATGGAACTCTTGATCATCCCAAAAGGTATAGTGTTTTAATGCTTGCAAAAAATGTTTGCATCAAAATATGGGCTCTCAAACTTTGGTTCCACTTAAAAATCACCTGCAGAGTGTTTAAAAATTATGGCCAGGCATGGTGGCTCATGCCTGTAATCCCAGCACTTTGGGAGGATGACGCGGGCAGATTGCCTGAAGTCAGGAGTTTGAGACCAGCCTGACCAACATGGTGAAACTCCGTCTCTACTAAAAACTACAAAAATTAGCCAGGCATGGGGGCGGGTGCCTATAATCCCAGCTGCTCAGGAGGCTGAAGCAGGAGAATCGCTTGAACTCAGGAGGCGGAGGTTGCAGTGAGCCGAGATTGCACCACGCACTCCAGCATGGGCGACAAGAATGAGACTTCCTCTTAAAAAAAAAAAAAAAAAAATTAAACCTAGGTCCCACCCCAGATTTATTAAATCAAAATTTCTAAGTGTGTAGCCCAGGCATAATACATAAAAAACAAATTCCAAGATGATTCTAGTGAATATCCAGAGTTAACAAACACTGGCTCAGAGATAATTTATGATTTTATTATATTTGAATGAAAACATTAAACAGATTTTAAGTATAAAAATCATGTTTAATAAAAATGACTTTAAAAGCAGTTTGAAACTACTTCTAGTAAACAAAATGATGATATAGCATAAAGAACAAAAATATCTTGAGGCATAGTGACTTCTTTCCTAAACAAAAGCATTATAAGATTATTCATAGCTAATCACTTCATGGTAATGTGCTTTCATCATTGAGGAAGAAAGGTGTTCCTAAAATAGCTGAGAAATAAACAGTGTGCATATAAATGTCTGGAGAAGCAGCAGGGAAGGTGCAGTATCTCTGAAGGATGACACAAGATGGATAGGCGTTCCAGGTTAAGAATAGTTCTCAATGTTTCCTGGAAAGGAATTCCATATCCTCAGGAAGAAGTGACTATCTCAGAATATCCCATCTGGATACACAGTGGGCGGAAGTCACATTTACAGTAAGAGTTGAGGTTAAGCAGAGGATAAGCTATAATTAATATCTGGTAAAATCAGAAGAGCAGCAGTCACTGATATAAGAAACTATTTTTAATAATATAGATATAAGAAAAGATCATCTAAAATTTTACTGGATAGCAAGGTCTTTTATTTGCTTTCAGAATCCTGGTGGTACAGGTTTAAAGATCTAATTTTCTTAAACCCTGAAAAAACTACATATAAGTACATATGTGTATAAATGTGAGAAAGAGTGTGGATTACTTATGGAGACGAAGAGTTACATAGATTTCTAAGAAAAGGAGAATGCTTCCTAGTGCAGGTATTGGTGGTTTTTCCTGATATTCTGTTTCAAAGGCTCAAAAATCACAAATGATACAAAAATTTTAGGTAATGTCTCATGTCTTCTGTTAGGCTCCATCAAATGCCACCTTGTTGTTCAAAAGGATAGTTTAGAATTTAGAGATGATTTTAACCAATATTGGCAGTCCCTTAGAAACTTAGAAGCAGCTCTTGTTCCCCCACCACCCACTGACCACGCTGACGATGTGAATGAAAACAGAAATAACATACAGAATTTCAACTTTCACACTTGAGCCTGTATAACAAGTCAGCACTGTTCTGAAAACTTAACTTATGTTATCTTTAAACCCTATAACAAGATAGAAAAGTAATTATTACTTTACCTCTTTACAGATAAGAAAATTAGAACTCAGTGAGAGGAAGGAATTTGCCTGCTCTCACACAGCTGGCAACGAGTCTGAGATTCATGTCTAAATCTATTCCAAAGCTCTTGACCTTTCTATTATAACACAGTCTTAGTCTTCTAGTCAGCAATATATATATATGTGTGTGTGTGTGTGTG
The DNA here is from genome assembly GCF_000001405.40 of Homo sapiens. Taxonomy (NCBI): domain Eukaryota; kingdom Metazoa; phylum Chordata; class Mammalia; order Primates; family Hominidae; genus Homo; species Homo sapiens. Next base: position 169,208,226 of record NC_000003.12, read on the forward strand.
TGTATATTTATATATGTGTGTAAATATACAATATATAATGTATATATACACAATGTTATATTACATTATATATACATTATATAATATGTATTATATTATATATATAATGTATAGCAAAAGATTTGGGTACATTTATTAAAATTTGTGGTACAATTTGTGTGAAATGCCTTCACTCCAGTTATCTGTCTATAAAACAAAAGCTCATAACAGCTTCTGTTTATAATTCAAGCAGTCAAGTTACTAGTAAAGGAAAGACACAGTGGGATTTGGGTAATAAATAATGTCAATCTAATAGCATTATTATAGATATCCAAAACTAGTAATGGCAGCACTTAGGACATATTTAGGCATATTTTATTTAAATTACCTTATATGTTAAAGTAAGGATCAAAATATCTGTGTTAGCTAACAAGGGATGTGAAGGACCTCTTCAAGGAGAACTACAAACCACTGGTCAGGAAATAAGAGAGGACACAAACAAATAGAAAAACATTCCATCATGGACAGGAAGAATCAATATCATGAAAATGGCCATACTGCCCAAAGTAATTTATAGATTCAATTCTATTCCCATCAAACTACATTGACTTTCTTCACAGAATTAGAAAAAACTACTTTAAATTTCATTTGGAACCAAAAAAGAGCCTGTATAGCCAAGACAATCGTAAGCAAAAAAAAAAAAACAAAGCTGGAGATGTCACATTGCTTGACTTCAAACTATACTACAAGGCCACAATAACTAAAACAGCATGGTACTGCTACCAAAACAGACATATAGAACAATGGAACAGAACAGAGACCTCAGAAATAACACTACACATCTATAACCATCTGACTTCAACAAACCTGACAAAAACCAGCAATGGGGAAAGGATTCCCTATTTAATAAATGGTGCTGGAAAATCTGGCTAGCCATGTGCAGAAAACTGAAACTGGACCCATTCCTTTCACCTTATTTTGAATTACACTAAAATTAACTCAGGATGGATTAAAGACTTAAATGTAAAACCCAAAACCATAAAAATCCTAGAAGAAAACCTAGGCAATACCATTCAGGACATAGGCATGGGCAAAGACTTCATGATGAAAACACCAAAAGCAATTGCAAAAAAAGCCAAAATTGACAAATGGGATCTAATTAAACTAAAGAGCTTCTACACAGCAAAAGAAACTGTCATCAGAGTGAACAGGCAACCTACAGAATGGGAGAAAATTTTTGCAATCTACCCATCTGACAAAGGGCTAATATCCAGAATCTACAAGGAACTTAAACAAATTTACGAGAAAAAAACAAACAACCCCATCAAACAGTGGGCAAAGGATATGAACAGACAACTCAAAATAAGACATTTATGTGGCTAACAAACATAGGAAAAAAAGCTCAATATCACTGATCATTAAAGAAATTCAAATCAAAACCACAATGAGATATTGTCTCCCGCCAGTCAGAATGGCAATTATTAAAAAGTCAAGAAACAATAGATGCTGGTGAGGCTGTGGGGCAATAGGAATGCTTTTACACTGTTGGTGGGAATGTAAATTAGTGTAATCATCGTGGAAGACAGTGTGGCGATTCCTCAAGTATCTAGAACCAGAAATAGCATTTGACCCAGCAATCCCATTACTGGATTTATACCCAAAGAATATAAATCATTCTTCTATAAAGACATATGCACATGTATGTTTATTGCAGCACTATTTACAATAGCAAAGTCATGGAACCAATCCAAATGCTCATCAATGATAGACACAATAAAGAAAATGTGGTATATATACACCATGGAATGCTATGCAGCCATAAAAAGGAATGCGATCATGTCCTTTGCAGGGACATGGATGAAGCTGGAAGCCATCATCTTCAGCAAACTAACACACAGGAACAGAAAGCCAAACACCACATGTTCTCACTCATAAGTGGGACACAGGGAGGGGAATAACACACACTGGGGCCAGTCGGGAGTGGGGGTGAGGGGAGGGAGAGCATTAGGACAAATAAGCTAATGTATGTGGGGCTTAAAACCTAGATGATGGGTTGATAGATGCAGCCAACCACCATGGCACATGTATAGCTATGTAACAAACCTACACATTCTGCATTTGTATCCCAGAACTTAAAGAAAAATAAAAACAAACAAACACAAAAACAAAAAACAAAAATAGCTGTACCAAGAAACATATTTCTGAAAACACGGCGGCATTATTGTTAGCTACTCTGTGAAAAAGAGCTATCTAATATGCAATAGAAATTAGTAATTGAGTGACATTTTCACTGACATGAAACAGTAAATGAAGGGCTATCAACATAATCAAGATCTTGCAAATGTGATAAGAAAATGATTTAGGGCAAAAGAAGCTAATCAGAAGAAATAGAGATCTCATTCTTTCTCTCTTTCTCCCTATCAATTTTATTGAGATACAATTCATTCACATTAAGTAGGCTGATAACTTTTGACAAATGTATACACCATGTAACCACCGCCCTAATTGAGATAGAGAGCAGTTCCACCTCCCCAGAGAGCTCCTTCATGCCTCCTTTCAGTTTCCCCTTTTCCACCCAACCCTAAATAATTATTGATTATTATAGATTAATTTTCCTCTATTAATCAGTATAGATTAGTTTCCCTGTCCTAGAATTTCATATAAATACAATTAGAGAGCCTGGATTCTTTGTGTCCAGTTTCTTTCCCTCAGCACAAACTCTAAGAGATTTGCCCATTGAGTGGCATATATCAGTATTTCAGTCTTGTTTATTCTAGTACATGAAAATATCAAAGGGATTTATTCTTTCAACTATTAATGGATATTTGTGCAGTTTCAATGTCCTGATTTTATGATTAATGGTATGTCAAACATGTGTGCACAAGTCTTTTTGTGGAACTATTTTTTCATTGCCCTTGGATAACTACTTAAGAGTGACTTGCCGGAGTATACAGTAAGAAACTTCTAAACTATTTCCCAACGTGGCAGTACCATTTTACATTCCTACCAGCAACGTGTGCGATCTCTCTCTTTTGAGATTTTTCTACTCTCATGGGGCTTGAGAAATATACCCTGAGGCCTTGGACATGATCTCAATGATGAGATTGATTAGTAAAAAACAAAAAGAAAAATTAAACACACAAACAAAAACACCCTGCTACATATTCACCATCTCAATTATTTGGATGGTGTATCTGCTTGTCTTCTGCTATGGTGCTCACTCCATGACACAGAAGTTAGTGATCTCCTCATTCTTCTGTGGTCTTGTCAAATTGACCATCAATGGTCTCTGAATCTATCTTCTTCAGTGATATTATGTGCCACTGACCAATACTTCTTTCTTTAAATATGCTCTTTCACAGATTTGCATGGCTCAAACTTTCTAATTTGCTTCCTATTTCACAGACAGTTTCTACTCCATCTCCTTTACTAGTTCTTTCTCTCAGGGTTGTAGTTTCTGAGGGTTTCATGTTAGGCTGTTTTCCTTTCTCTTTCTGCACTGTCTTATTGAGATGTTTCATCCAGTTCTAGAACTTTAAAGATCATTTGTGTTCATGGCTCCCAAATTTATATCCTCAGTCTTGACCTCACTAGACAAAAGTCCAGACCTTTGTATCCAGTTGCCTACTTGACATCTAAATCTGGATGTTTAATAGCTATCTCAAATTTAGTTTCCTTAGTACGGAACTTTTGAAGTACCCTCCTCCCTGCACACTCCTCACCAACACACTCTTTTCTCAGTTGCCTCTATCCCCAAAATGGCTCCACCTGCCATCTGTTTTCCCATGCCAAACATCTGAGTGTTATTCTTGATTTTTTCATTTTCTCTATCTGCATTCAATCTATCAGAAAGCTTTCAGGGGATTCTTTCTACTCTCATGGGGCTTGAGAAATATACCTTGGGGCCTTGGACATGATCTGAATGGTAAGATTGATTAGAATATATCTAGGAACTACCCACATTTTTTCTCTCTCTCCTTCCACTACACTTCTCAAAATGATCGCTTAATGCAGCAGCATCTCCAGGAATACCCCACAACTGCTTCTCTCACAACAGCCAGAGTGATCATTAGACAACATAAATCAGATCATGCCATCCCCTGTTAAAATGCTCTGATGGCTTTCTACTACATGTAGAATAAAACTCAGACGCTTTATACCATGACCTGAATAGCTCTACCATACTCCAATGCCTGCAGGACAGAGGCTGTAATCAGCTGTAATGTCAATGAATAAAAGGGAGAAGGTAAAAAAAAAAAAAGCTAAACTGCTTGTAAGGGGAGGAAATTTAACAAATGACTACTTGCCCTGTCTTTTAAAACAATGTGAAGACAAAACAGGCAACACAGGCACATCTGTAACAATGTTAAATCTATTCCAAAGCTCTTGACCTTTCTATTATAACATAGTCTTGGTCTTCTAGTCAGCAATGTATATATATATATATATATATATATATATATATATATATATATATATATGCAACAAAAGTACACTGGCTACCTCCACTTTGTCACCTCTCCACTACCAGTTCTAGCCCTCACCTAGCCTAGTAATCTAATTGCTCTTACTATGCTCCTGGCCTTCCTTATGTTATCCAAATATGCCAAGCTCCTGCTTGCCTTGAGGTCTTCACACCTGCTGTGGCCTCTTCCTGGAATGCTCTCCTGCCTGGTTTTCACACCAGCTCCTCCTATCATTCAGACCACACTCAAATAGCACTTTTTCAGGGAACCTTCTCTCACCTCCACCTTTAAAGCAGTCCCCTCATTGTAACTATTATCCTCAGGCATTTACTGTTTCATGTCTGTCAAAATGTCACTTGATTACTGTCACATTACCCCCACTTTGTTACTTCCTCTCTTTCTTTTTTATTTTTTTTAATACTTTTCACTATTTGAAATTTACCTATTTATTTACTGACAGAATATCAATTTTCATCACAGGAAAGGAAGCTCCATGAGGGCAAAAATAGTTATCTCTCTTCTTTATACTTGACTTGCATCCTTTAGGCATGTTGTAAGTGCTTGAAAAATATCTTTTGAATTAACGAGTCTTTATAGAAGTGAAAAATATGCATGTAAAAAGTAGAGTTAGGTTTGGCTCCAAACTGAAAAGTGTTCTGGAAGATTACAAAAAGCAACGAAAAAAGAAAGGAATATATGAGAAATTAGATAATTTCATCATGTTTTGGCTTTTTTGCAACTTTCTTTTCTTTTCCTTTGATTAAAAAAATGTTTATACCATGTGAAATATTCAACTTTTTGCTCCATTTTGACTCCATGTTCTCAACTTTTATCCTATTAAAAAAGTGTTATGGGGGCCCATTTTCAAAGAGGGACACACCTAAATAACTCCAAACAGATGAGCCTGAACCAGTTTTAAAGATCATAAGAGAAAGAAATGCCATAGGCTTTTTGGTGGCTTTAAGTTTTTCTTTTTAAACAAACCTAGCTGGCCCTTAAACAGAAAAAATCGGCAAAGTTATGTTTTGGTACTCTTTAAAGACTGACCTGACTTTATGAATATTTTACCAATAATACAAAATTAAATCAATATATTTGCCCAGAGAAAATGAAGTTTTTATTTGAAAGAAGGCCCTAAAACTAAACCAGAAGTTTCCGTTTATTTTACCAACTGAGACCCTGACTTGAGCAGTAAACACTTCCTGCTCCCATGGCTGAAGGGCTATATATTATCTGAAATAATTTCTTTAGTCTGTGACTGGAGGAAGAAAAGTGACTTGCCCTTATTTATCTTTTTTAGGGGCTACATGGATTTTAGTGTCCTTGAAAACAAGTGATTGAGAACAAAGAATTAGCAATAATACACATCTGTATGATACCATTCATCTAAAGATCCCAAAGCTTTCTTGAGTGTCTACACTGCCCCCATCTTTCAATTGCTAAAGCATTTTGGTTTAAGACAGGCAATACAGCTATATTTGTTCCCCTTTGTGGCTTTGTAAAAGCCAACTTTTTTTTTAAACTAACATGTATGAACATCAGTGGAAATTAGCAGGCCTCACTCAGCTTGTAGAATTAGCGGTAGAAAAGAGAACTAAACTAAACTAAAAGAACTAAACTAAACATAGTGGATGGCTGATATATACTTGCCAAATTCAATTTAATTATATGATCAGGTTTTAATACAAATAGAAAAGACATATTTGAAGGGACACACTGATGTTTACAAACAGGAATAATGGAGCCCAGGAGTGTTTAAAAAAAAAAAAAAACAAACTCATTCTAGGAAACTCCATTTTGATTAAAAACAAATTCGTAAATCATTTTTCAGTTATAGCTTTCAGAAGCTCTTGGTTAGAATTCAATAAGGCAAAAAGAGTTTTGGTTTAGACTTTAAGTCATTGAGTACCCCAATACTAATAAATCCTGTAAAGAAAGTAATTGACAATGAATTTTTTTAAATGTTGCAGTAGATGATTCTGAAACTATTCATTTCTACCTAGATTTTTAATAAACATATTTTTGTTAACTAAGGGTGCCAACAAACTGATTATTATTTTATATTACAGCAAAATTTTCTACCATTAACATAAATAAGTCTTTAGGTTTTCAGAAAAAAAAGTTCTACAGGATTATATATTTATATATGTCTAGTATCTATTTTATATATATAATCTATAGGATTATATATATCTAAATATCTAATATCTATTATATATATACAAAATCTACATTATAAATATATATACATATATATACACACATATATATAATGTGAATACCCTCTGCAAAAATCAGAGCATGTGAAGATTTAGAAAACTAAAAGCCTAAAAGCCCAGGCTTTTCTTATAGGGCTTTGAAAATAGAAAGGCAGTTGTTAGAAAATCAGTATCATTTATTGAAAGTAGCCATGTTTGTTTAACTTTATTTTATATTCCACTCTATTCCTTGCACAATATTCCTCAGATTAAACTCCTCCAAAAGTAAAGAACAAAACACTAATGTGAAAAAAAAAGCCTTATGAAGTATTTTCCAGGAGACTCATTGTCTTTTTTTTCCCCCTCCTCTTTCCTTTTTTTTTTTTTTTAAAAAAGCAGACTTTCTTCAAAAGAAGCAATTTTACATGGTGTGTAAAACCGACCTTGGACAAGAAATGGAACACAAAGATAAATCATTTGTGGTGAATTTAAACATGAATCCGTGGAGCTCCTCCTTTTCTGAAATCCTCCATTTCTTTTAAAACATTCTGGTAATAAATTGCTGTGAGTTTTTGCCATATCCTATGTCCTTACTCACTGGGAACAATTGATGCTTGGAACCCATTCAACGATGGTTACATAGATTTGTGAAAACAGGAGCCGGCTCAGCTTTCCTTTAAGAGTTGTTTAGTGAAGTTATGCTCATTGACTTTTTACTCTTATTATTAAAATTCCTCATTAAACCTGCCTGAAAACTAAATGTGATTCCTTTTACCTGATGTGGCAAAATCACCCTCACCCCTTCCAGAACCATTTTATTACAAAAGAACAATAGATTTCCTTGCTGGGTAAAGTAAGAGCAGTGTGACTAATGCACTTTCTATCCTACAGAAGGCCTAATATTGTTAATTTACAAAATCAATTCAAGGGAACCACTTTGAAGACAAACTAGGGTCGTGCATATGGATCTCTCCAGAAATGATGTGTCAGTTCCAAGGCTGGCATTCCGCCTCAGCTGGCATCTAGCAGTTTTCGCTCTTCCAGGCAATTTGGCCCTTGATTTCAAACAAATGCATCCTGAAGGCCTAATGCCAGGAATAGTTTGATATGATTTATGCTTCATGTTTTCTCACAACCCAGAAAATTTTAGACCTGAAAGGCATATTTTTTCATTATTTAGCATTTGCCATGAGTCGTATGTAAGCCAAAGTTATTTTAGTGTCAACCTTTATTTTTCTGGACCTCTGAGTAGAGTCAACTCACGAGTGTTTCCACGTCTTGTTTGTTGCACAATAGGGAAGTTTTCTGGCTGCTTTCATTGATTTCCAAATCCCGAATCTTTCTTTTCTGATGGTATGATGGTGAAAATAACCTTATTTGGTTGCCATCATTTGATGTCAAAATGACGACCATCTAAACTACTTTTTTTCTCACTAGGTTTACTCTTTTAACCAAATTCATAGCAACTCTCTCTTACTTATTTCAAGCCTATGGGATAGAAATAAGTTGTGTCATTTCTAGTGGTGTTTAGGCATAGGTGTATCTTAAAAGCAATAGTTGAAACCTTCCCAAATCTCTGAAATGACATCTGACCACTGGCTGCCAGGTTGCAAGGTCTTCTGGCTTCCCCCATTTCCTGCATACATTTTTGCTATTTCTGAAATGAGAAGAAATAAATGTACTGCTAATTTACACAAACCTTCTCTAGTAAAAAAAAAAAAAAAGTACACTATAGGTTAAAAAACATTAAATATTACTAATTCTATATGTTTCAATCTAGTACATTAAAATAATATTCATGAAAACACTTTACAATATTGGGGGAAAGCCTTGTGAAATTTCACAATATATTGTTAAGTAAGAAAAATAGTTTATAAAATTATGAAAATGCAATCTTAATTTTGCAAAAGAGATATACAGATATGCATAGCAAAAATACTGTAGGTAGCTCAATAAAAAGTTGACAGTGTTTATCTGTAAAACAAAAACAAAAACAAAAACGCACATTAAGCTATCGCCGTGGCCACCATTTACACGGAGTTACTTAAAACAGAATAAATATATTACCCTATAATTTAAGTCATAAAAATCTACTGAGGAAGTTTAGTCTCTACTAGCCACACAAATAAACAGGTATGATACCATAGAGAACAACCGACAGATACCCCATCTCTGTGGGTTCATTTTGACTTCCTTGCACAAGTAGGTAACAGGAGGGTGGATGATCCGCAGATAGCCAGAGCCATATATTTAGAAGATGAACTCATAACAGAATGATCTGGATTTTGGCACCTGAGTAAACATGACTACATGGGTTTGTATTAACTTCTATTTGACATTCACAGAGAATTCCCACCTCTTGCCTGCATACATGAACTATAGCTAGACTCTTGGAGTCTTTTTTTTTTAATAAAACATTTTTGTGGAGACAATAAAATATATAACACAAAGGAAAGATTCTGATATAGGATTACATTTTGGGTTTGTAATAAACTAGAACATTGTACTTAAAGATAACACTGCTCAAGTTCAGAAAGATTTTTAAAAAGCAAAATATTTAGCATTTTCGTAAATTATGCACAATTAACATAACCTCACTACTATATACATGAAATGTTTAAAAATAAATAAATAGGCCGAGCACGGTGGCTCACACCTGTAATCCCAGAACTTTGGGAGGCCAAGGCGGGCAGATCACTGAGGTCAGGAGTTTGAGACCAGCCTGGCTAACATGGCAAAACCCCGTCGCCACTAAAAATACAAACATTAGCTGGGCACTGTGGCACGTACCTGTAATCCCAGATACTTGGGAGGCTGAGGCAGCAGAATCACTTGAACCCAGGAGGTGGAGATTGCAGTGAGCTGAGATCACACCACTGCACTCCAACCTGGGCAACAGAGCGAGACTCCATCTCAAAAAACTATATATATATTTATTTTACATATTTTATTTTACAAAATAAAATATATATGTAATATATATATATATAATCCCCATAATTTCAAAATTTATAAAAATTTCAGCATAGGGTAGTTTTTCTCACTCATCTACAAACATAATCAGAATTTACAACATGGCCTTGACAACAATTTTATTATACATCCTAAATTATCAGTGACTCTAATTAAATATTTTAATAGCTCTATAGTGAAATTAATGCTTAGGGCAGTAATCATTTGACTACTATAAATCATGTAAAGCTAAAAGTTTAGCAATATAGCTTATAGGTTGATAATCCAGAAGAGAAATATATTTTTATTTTAATGGGAAGAGACATCTTACTGTGTGCTTTTAAAATAAATTAGGTTTAAGAAGTCTACAAATTCTGAAAAGTTACAGGAAAAAAAAAGGATCCATTAATCAAAATTGTGTGACATGAAAAAATTTCATTTTTCAGAATGATCTTTAAGAAGATAAAACTTTCAACAGGGATCACAAGAGCTGGGTTGTTTAATTTGCAGTAGAATTTTTGAAATCTGGAGGAAGGATGACACTCAAATCAGATGTATGCACTTGACTTGTCAATGTAATGGAAAGTTACTTCGGGCAATGATCCCAATAATGCCACAGCTTGGGTGGGAAGTTTACAAGGAAAAACAGGAAGTGATGCCAGGGATCACAAAAGGACACTTCCCTTTTGACTGGAATGAGTATTTTACAAATCAAGGAGTGCTATGCATCCAGGGTGAGGCAGGGGGAGGCAGAGTGTCTCTCAGAAAAGCCTGTAACCTGTGGTCTCACACAGTGACTTCAGAACTTGTGGAATTTTGAATACTGTATCCAATTAGGAAAGTATCCTTTTTGTGTTCACATACTACAGAATGCAGTCCATATCAGTGTTAACTTTTATTTCTTAATCATTCTGTATTAGGCATCAAAAAGCCTACTACTGCTTGCCCAAAATCATTCAGGGAATTAAAAAGTTCTCTCTTTACTTACTCTTACAGTTTTATTTTGACAGACAATGTTGCACCGTATCCAATTTAAATTTGTGATGACAGTGGATTTGGGCGTGCAAATGTGACAGAGAACTTTCTCTTTCTCCCCCTCCTTCTACACCACACACCTACCCCTACGTATATAGCTGCGTGTGTGTGTGTGTGCTGTCTCCTGAGCTATGTCATGATCTTGGATGTGTGTCTGTGGGGCCCCAGTGTTGCTGCTGTGGGCTTTTTGCAACAACTATAAAATTCAGCACATTATCCTCATCTCGCTATAACAGCAAACATCGAAGTATCACAGAATCAAAGGAATTAGTTGAAAATAATTTCATAGACAGAGGTACTTAGCTTTTTATAGCTCTGGCTCAACTTGAATATCAATCTATATTAGGTCCTTTAAAAAAAAATTTAATAGGCCAGGCGCGGTGGCTCACGCCTGTAATCCCAGCACTTCGGGAGGCCGAGGAGGGTGGATCACGAGGTCAGGAGATCCAGACCATCCTGGCTAACATGGTGAAACCGCGTATCCACTAAAAATACAAAAAAATTAGCCAGGCGTGGTGGTGGGCGCCTGTAGTCCCAGGTACTCGGGAGGCTGAGGTAGGAGAATGGCCTGAACCTGGGAGGCGGAGCTTGCAGTGAGCCAAGATGGCGCCACTGCACTCCAGCCTGGGCGACAGAGCGAGACTCCGTCTTAAAAACAAAACAGAACAAAACAAAAACTTAATGAGATCATTCCTAGGTTAGAAGGTAAACTTATAGCTAACTTTCTTCTTGGCAAAAAATCAGGATGCTATATATACACCACTATATATTTGAGCACACACATGTAGCTACATATGTAGGGGTGGGTGTGTGGTGTAGAAGGAGTGAGAGAAAGTCTGTCACACTTGCATGCCCAAATCCACTGTCATCATAAATTTAAATTACATATATAGGTGTGTGTATATATATAATGGTATATATATATTATATACATTAGTTTGCTATATATAATAATAGCATGTGTATATATATATAAAATCATCCTAATTTTTTATCAAGAATACAGTTAACTATAAGTTTACCTCCTAACCTAGGAACCATCTCATTAAGTTTTTTTAAAGGATCTAATATATATATTATTCTAATATGTATAATTCTAATATATAATATATTCCAATTATATACATTTTAACAAATATAAATATAAGTAAATAAATATACATTTTCTAACTATATAGTTAGAAAATAAGACTGGGCACGGTGGCTCATGCCTGCAATCCCAACACTTAAGAAAGCTGAGGCAGGTGGATCACTTGAGTTTAGGAGTTCAAGATGAGTCTGGGTAATACAATGAAACCCTGTCTCTCCAAAAAAATACAAAAAAATTATCCAGGCATGGTGGTGCACACTGGTAGTACAGCTACCTGGGAAGGCTGAGGTGAGAGGATCACCTGGGAGGCAGAGGCTGCCTGCAGTGAGCTGTTTAGTCCAGCCAGAGTGAAACTCTGTCTCAAAAACAAGCAAAAAGAAAAGAAAAGAACACTTACTTGCTTCTTTTCTCAAATATTGCCTTTTCAGTGAGACCTCCCTTACCTAAAATTTCTACCTGTTCCTCCCACCTGCTAACACTTCATATTCCTCTTACCTGCTTTATTTTATCTTTCTTGCATTTAATTTTATTTTTATTATTATTTTTTGAGATGGAGTCTCCCTCTATCACCCAGACTGGAGTGCAGTAGCTCGATTTTGGCTCACTGCAACCTCCGCCTCCCAGGTTCTAGCGATTCTCCTGCCCCAGCCCCCCAAGTAGCTAGGATTACAGGTGCCCACCACCACGCCCAGCTAATTTTTGTATTTTTAGTAGAGACGGGATTTCTCCATGTTGGCTAGGCTGGTCTCAAACTCCTGACATCAGGTGATCCACCCACCTGGGTCTTCCAAAATGCTGGGATTACAGGCTTAAGCCACCGTGCCTGCCAATAAGCTACACTTTTTTCTTAACTTTTTTATTGTCTTTTCTCACCAGTAGAAGAGAAAGACCATAAGGGCAGGAATTTTTGTCTGTCTTGTTGACTAGTGTATTTCCTGAGGCTCGAACAATATCCGGCGCATAGTTGGGGCTTAAAAATCATTTGCTAAATCAATGAATAAAGGAAGGAAGGAAAGTAGGAAGAAAATCGAAGAAGAAGATTAGGGAAAGGCACTCTATACAATAATGTTTAAAGATGTAATTCTAGAATCAGGCTGTTTGGATTTAAAATCCATCTATGCCTTGTATTGGTTGCATAACCTTAAGCAAGCTACTTACACTCTCTTCTTTTTCTCATCTGTAAAATGGGCAAATACTGGAACTATCTTGCAGTGTTGCAAAGATTAACTAAAGTAATCCTTACATAGAATTTAGCATCATTTTTGAAACAATATGCAGTAAACAAATGTTAACTAATAGTATCATCATCATCTTCTTCTTCACCAGAACTATCACCTTTGTCCTAATTTTATGAGGCTAACATTAGATAACAGTCATTAATGGTTATTTTTAAATACTTCGGTAACATTTTGGAGTAAACTCAGAAATTATTTCAATTTCCCTTTACATACTTCTATCTGGCTACACAATTACCCTAGCATCCAAAAATAATTGTTTCCTGCCTTCCCACCTTCTTTTGTGAAAGAGTGTGAATTGTGTGCCCAGTTACCTTTAGCCCCCTTGGACCCATGGGCTTTTTGCTGTACTCAAGAGCACAGCTTTTGGAGACGTAAAGAGATGTTAAAAAAAAAAAAAAAAGCCAGTGGCAGCTCCTGGAAGTCACTCTGGTCTGGTTTTGAATGGGTTGGGCTAAGTGATCACTAAGAATTCATCTGGCTGTCAAATCTCACAACTTTTGGCTGACGTGTCCTTCAGGAAAAGGGCAGCAAGAACTGGTAAAATAGAAAAAAAATCACTTAAATTGCTTGCATTCATTTATTCATTATCTACGTATCCACTTCATTCACTCGTTTATGCATCACTTGCTTCTAAATATTTTTACCCTGTCCAAAAGGCATTATGATGATACAAAGGTAAATCAGACTTCAGCTCTGTCACCAGGTAGTTTGGCCTTTCCACTATGGCACCAATGAAAGGCAGACTAGATACCTGAAGGAAATGCTTTTTTGTTGTTGTTTTCTGATATTCTAGTCTTACATTATAGTTGCGCCATCATGTCACTATTTAAATTTTAATTACTTAAAATTATCATTTCCGTAGATCACTAGCTATGTTTCAAGTGCTCAATAGCCACATGTGGCTAGAGGCTACCTTACTGGAGAACACAGACAGAGAACATTCCCATCGTCACAGAAAGTTCTATGGGTCAGTGCTGTGCCACAGAATATGAGTTACTCATCAATTTATAAGTGGTAAATTATTTTCTGAGGTCCAACATAATCTGATATTAGCTAGCTAATTAAAGCAAACTTAATTGAAATGGCAAACAATAATCATTAGCAGAGATTCAGAATTAGTTTAAAGGTAGCTATGGTTTCGAAATTAATTCCAAACACTGGCTGCCCTCAGTACCTTGTTACAGCCTCTTATTCCTGCCATTAGACAACAGTGAAGCCCACATATGGTGCCCTGACTGGTCACATGATTTTTTAATATCCACATGATGGCACTAAAATGGCCTATTAGATTTACAGTGTCATTAACTTTCCAAAATAAAAATGAGAGTCTGCTCTGGCAGCGGGGAAAAAAAGTGTGAGTGCTGTTGGGTTTTGGGTAACCAGTCTATGAGGAAATGCTGACAGGGGTCAGTGTGACATCATCTTTCATTCAGCCCCAAAGCTGTCAGGCCCTCCCCAGATGTCTGAAACGCAGATATAAATTTTCATTATCCAGCAGCAAAGGGCCAGAGGTACACCAAATGAATTTTTTACCAATCAAATTATAGCTCATTGCCAGATTAAGTGTAAACACTAATTTTGTGAAGTTTTCTTCTGGTCATTTATCTCCAACTCCACAAAGTAACCTTGCTGAAGCTGGAAAGACTTCTAGATCAAATTATCATTTTCATAATCTTGTTGCAGACACTGCAAAATTGAATAAAAGGAAATTCCATTAATAATGAACGGTGCCTTCTTTCATGGAACAATTAGATTTTTTTCACATTTTCTAAAAGAAAATGCAAAGTGAGGAAATACTAAGGGATCACAGAAGAACCATTCTGGACCTCAGTTTCCCCATCTATAAAATGGTGAGACTGGATACAGTAATCGCTAATTCTGTGGTATAAGAATGACTCTAAGTATCTCTGCTTTCATACTGGCAAATTTCATTTTCAAAGTCCTATATTTTTTTTTTTACTATATGTTAAGTTCTAGGGTACATGTGCACAACATGCAGGTTTGTTACATATGTATACATGTGCCATGTTGGTGTGCTGCACCCGTTGACTCGTCATTTACATTAGGTATATCTCCTAATGCTATCCCTCCCCCCTCCCCCCTCCCCCCACCCCACAACAGGCCCCATTGTGTGATGTTCCCCACCCTGTGTCCAAGTGTTCTCATTGTTCAATTCCCACCTATGAGTGAGAACATGTGGTGTTTGGTTTTCTGTCCTTGTGATAGTTTGCTCAGAATGATGGTTTCTAGCTTCATCCATGTCCCTACAAAGGACATGAACTCATCCTTTTTTATGGCTGCATAGTATTTCAAAGTCCTATATTTTTAACAGGAGGTTTGAAGATAAAGTAACTTCCAATTAAAAAATGTGATAGGTTATAAAGTTCAACTGTGTATTTATTGCTGGGAAATTAGAACTCATTTCTTGGAGTTAGAACCCTGGGAAATAATGTGACAAATGGTATAGTTTGTCCTAGTTCTACTTTAATGTAAAAAGAATTACAGTTATACTATAATAGAACAAATACTCTATTATTGATAGTAATAGTACTACAATATCCAACCACTTGATTTAACAGTATGTACATAGGAAAAGGTATTCATGCTTTACTCTGAAAGTCAGAAACTCCATCTCCTCTGATTTGGACCGTGAGCCCCTCTATTCTTCCTCAAGTTCCAAGCCACTAGTAGTGACTCCCATGACCTCAGGTGGAACCTCCTGTAGGTTAAGTGCCTGGCCAAGAGAAGCAGAGCAACCTGGAACTCCTGCCATTATTAAACCCCAAAAGCTCTTCACAAGAAAAGGAAGAGTGCTTCAGAATTTTTTTCTGAGCCACTGGAATACTCTAGTTGACTACCGTGCCCTAGGTTTTTTCTATGCCCCACTGACGGGGGTGCCTTTCATCTAGGATATGGTGTGGTATCGATACTAAGGAGTATGATGGGGAGCTTTCTAGAGGGTAAGAGAGAAAATAATCTGAGAGGAGATAGAGAACGTCAGCTCCTGCTGGGCCCATTTCAAGCCTTCCTTCCCATCTGCCCTTCATCACCAACAATACTGTTACTGTGTTCTAAAGGGGCCAAGGAGTATCTGTGGAAGAACAAAGGCCTGGCAGTGATAGAGCATGCAATACTGGCTAAGTGGATGGAAATTCAAAGCAATGGCAAGAAGAAGTCTTGATTAAGCTGCAGTGGTCATCCAACACAACGTAAACCCAAATGAGTTGTTTTGGTGTTTGAATGGCTTGAGGGGGATGCCATGGCTTCCTAGGGTTCTCAAAACGCAGCCCCAACACTTTCCCAGGCCACTGTCACCCACATATAGAAAAGTACAGTGCTATCCTGAGTCTATCACTTCAGTGGAATATCCTTTCCTTCAGTCATCATCTTCAGCTACCCAGTAAACCTCACAGTAAAAACTGAGTGGCCATTGGGGATGGGAAGAAGGGAAAGAAATAATTCTCCAGTTTTCACAAATACTGAGATAGCTCATTGTTTGTAGTGTGACTTAATTTTTGAATAGTTGGCCTGAGTTTAAAATGTATGGCATTCATTATCCACCAGGGACTGAGAAGCAAGGCAAGGGGGCCCGTAGAGAATCAAGAAACCTGAAAAGCCCCATGGGCTGTAAGACCATCCAGCACTTGGCTAACAGTGCAACAATCTGTTGAGTCGAGCATAAACGAAGGATACAAATTAGATTTCCCCTGAAAGCCACAAGATTAAACATTAGGGGGCAAGTTCTTGGCAAAATGTATGTGTGTATTTTCCAAAACCAATCTTTTTTAAAAAAATTCACAAAGTCTGCTAAATACATTGGTCAGATTTTTCTCATACTTAAATATTTACCTAACTTAAAGAAACGTGATTTTCAGGTATGTCAAAGCAGAGATGATATTGATAATGCTAACCAATTTATTGATCCAGAGGGCTCCAAAATGAGTTTTATAGAGAATATATTTAGTATCATTATGTGAATTTTAGCATAAGATCTACTTAACTATGTAATAATAAAAATATAGACACTATGAGAAAAATGTTAAATGCATCCTAAATACAAGTGGAGAGCTATTCGGATTTTATGTTCAATATCCCATAGTCTATTAAGAACTAATGTTAGTTAAGTAGAGATTCTGCTGCCCTGGCTGCTTAGAGGGACATGTCTGGACTTGACCATATCCAAACCAATGGGGATAGAGTGGTTTGAGGTGGGCCAAGGAGAGTCAGGATGATTATTTGTGACTTTTGAAGCACATATGAGAAAAGAAACCCTGTCTTATCAAGGACTGGTGATCTTAGCTGTATCTTCTCTCAAAACACCCTACACCAAATTCAAAAACAGGGCCCATACCCAAAGATATTCTATTCTACTTTCTTTTCTTGCTGACAAAGATGAAATATTAGGCAGCTCGTCCTAAGACCCTTATTTGTTTGCTTGTTTGTTTTTACACTGTCTTGCTCTGTCGTCCAGGCTGGAGTGCAGTGGTGCGATCTCAGCTCACCGCAACCTGTGCCTCCTGGGTTCAAGTGATTCTTCTGCCTCAGCCTCCTGCGTAGCTGGGACTACAGGCATGCACCACCACGCCTGGATAATTTTTGTATTTTTAGTAAATAGGGGCTTTCACCATATTGACCAGGCTGGTCTCGAAATCCTGACATCGTGATCCGCCTGCCTCGGCCTCCCAAAGTGCTGGGATTACAGGCGTGAGCCACCATGCCCAGCCAAGACCCTTGCTTTAAGGGCCACAGACTGGTGCGGGAAATAAGCAACCCACAAAGAGAATGGCCCAAAAACTATCTGTGAGGTAGAAGAAGAGAAATCAGCAAAGGACTCCTTATTTTATTACATAAACTTCCATTGTCTCTTTAACATTCTTTAACTTAACAAATAATTTCTGAGCACGTCCCCATCTTGCCTAACCTAGATGGTCATTTATCTCCTTGTTCTCTTCAAAGTATTCTCTCACCACCCCTGCCTCACACTTCTTTTTTAATGCTGGTGCAAAGAGGTAAAATAAATATTATGGGTAACCCTGGATGCATTAAAGGTAACCTTGAACACTACTGTTAGTCTTCATTATATCTAATATCACCTGAATAAAAAAAGAATAAGAGTAGAAGTGGAGTGTGAGTTTCCACAGGACCTATAGTCCCTCAGAATAAGTTTTTCTAACTATTATAGAGATGAATAAAGGAATTTATAATAACTGTATATGAAGTATTTTATCTATTTAAACTTTGTGAATTACGTATTATGAATTTCATAAACTGTAACAATACATCTTTTCTGGAACTTCTCCACATTGGTTCTAGGTCTGGAGATGATATTTATCAAATATTTACTATGGGCGAAGGAAGTACAGTTATTCTCCCCGTTTTATTTATGAGAAAATCAAGTGACAACTTGCCCAAGGTCCTAAAACCAACACCATAACACGGAATTAAAACTAGATTTGTTTCCCTTTAGACATCTATATAAAATGTAGATGTATTCTCTTTGTTCAAGAGATTATAAACAATGATCAATAATGGAAAGGGGAATCAAAGGAGTTCTTCAGGTTTCACTTACAGAGGTCTTACATAAAGTGCTTATCAACTGGAAGGAATTTAACTGACTGTGCTGAATCTCAGAACTTCATTAAAAGCAGTTCTATTTCTCCCATGTATGGAAGAAAATTTTGCTTTTGTTTTTTGTATACAGGGCAATGGCAGGAGAATCTCTGAAATCATTTGATTTGAGAGTAGATGTTCATAGGCTATAAAAGGAAATCCTTGCCCTATGTTTAAGAGGTGTCTAACTTCACCCATCTTTAGTTTTTTCATTGTGTGACCTTAGGCAAGTCATTGGCTGGACACCACAGCTTCCTTTTGTGAAAAAGGAATCTTCGGGCAATTTAGTCAAACTCACTATTTTATAAAATAGTCATGGTGATGGATTTCTAGAGAAAGGTGAGAGCAGGCCCAGATTGTACACAGTACTAATATTAGCAAGAGCTCACTAATGGGAAAAAGGACTAGATCATTTTTACAGAACAACAAAATAAATATAAACATCTTACCATCTGAGAAAAAGCAAAATAAAATACATACTTTCTTCATAATATTTTGATTATAAAATATACCCAGAGAGAGAGAGAGCAGGTACACATATAAATAAATTCTGAATATCATAATCCTTACTTTTAAAATTCTGTCTCCTACCTGTTGTAATTTTGGTATAATATCCTATTTTTCCTACACCAGAAATTTATTTGCTAAATGCCCTATAGAGTAAATGTTTCTGAGAATTCTGTATAGATTTTCTTTTCTCTGTATCAGATCATAAGGATTGGTAGGTATCAGTGGGATTTGTTTTCTGGTTATGGGGACAGAGATCTCATGAACAGGCTTTGACCCCAACCATCTACCACAAAGTAGCACATTTGAGCTAAACCTTTGCCTTTCCTGAATGGCAGGCTGGACACAAACTTTTGCCCAAGAAATGCGTTGGAAAGGGGGAATGGGTGAAAAGTCATTGATATAGATGCAGAACTGTGCAAATCATGGAATAAAATGCTTGTTTTAAAAAGGAAACAAGATTAGAAAAATGACAACATTTCAAGAGGCACATTCAAGATGTGTTTTCAGAAGTGGGAATCAGCACATAGGAGGCAGGAGGGCAGCATGACCAAACTTGGGATTTTGTTGCTGTGAAAGTGAGCCCAAAACAAAGGGTGGGTATGGAGCAGTGTCCCTGATGGGAACCATTGTTTTCTCATCCGAAAGTCTTTCTCCCACAGCCCAAGAACAATTGAGACAAATACATTCAAAGGTCAACAGAACAGACAATGCTGGGAACGCCAGAGAACCTAGTAGCTAGCCCTGTGCTCTCATCACAACAGACGGAACCAACAACAGCCCAAGTAGCTACAAGCAATCTGATTACAACAGCCTTGCAGCGTTCCTGAGCAGTTTCTGTGGTTTATACTGAGTTCCTCCTCTACTGTAGTCTGTGCCGCAAATCTACCACAGATTTGGCTAAACAGATGATTTTCTTAAAAAGAATTATCTCTGGTGGTTTTGCCATATTCCGGGCAATACTATACTAAACAGTCATAATGGAAATACTAGCACAAGACCTGTTTTTTCTAAGCTCAGTGCAATATCTGCTGCCACTTGAATTTGATCATTTAAAGTCACTCATGATGCAGGCGTATGTTACGATCAAAGACTAAAAAGGAACTGCAAAGCAGGAGAGGACAGATGACCATGCTTTTATAAACTACAGTTTATGCAAAAACCAGTTTTTCACGGGGCTTTAAAAAAGGGGAGTTGTATTTTCGTGAGACTACAGTAGACTTTTTCAAGAAAGTAGTGTATTAAAAATAAAAACAGGATAAAAATAGAAAAGAAATTTATGAAGGAAATTCAGAGATGTGATTATAACATCACATTAATGACATTACAATTAACCTCAAAGGCATTTCCATGCAAACTTCCCCTTCCAACGTAAGTCACTCCAGCCAAGGAATAATCCTGTCAGGCTGAAATACTGCATACTTGGTGTGAGTCTAAAAGTGTTTCGGCTTTCTTCATTTTGTTTTTATTGCCAAGTTGGACAGCATTAGACGGAGCTGTTCTGGAGTTAGAAGGATACAATAGTCTGCAGTTTTAAAAGTTTAAGGCTTTTTATGCTTTTAACTCAAACACACCTTTTAAATCCCAAATTGGGCCACTCTTGGAGCTCACTGTATGCACTGATATTTTGGCTCACTGGGTGTGATAACAATGGACACAGTGAAGATGTTATTCAAAGCTTTTAAAATAAAACACAAAAACACTTGATAAAATAATGCTGATTATATGGCCCAAGCTTTTCACACTCACATATACATGAGTGTTAACTGCACTGGCTTGGAAACACTGGTTCTGGCTTTCTAGTCAATGGTCCGTTTACTTACAGTAAAATCTTCCAGAGGGGTTCCATAAAAATCTGCTCTGCTGTAAAGAAAAGGCCAACCTTACCAACTCCTTATACAGGAACTGAAGAGATTCCTTAGGCCTGTTGGGACTGTGATTAAGTTTAGCTAGAAAGTGCCATCCACGCATGTGAGATGGTTGGTGACTACCAAACGGGCAAGTGGAGAGGCAGCCAGCAGACACCAAATAAGTCACAAGAGCATCTCAACTAAAATTTCTGAACCCAAAGGCTTATGAGACTGAGAAATTATATTCTCTGGTCAGTCATGAAACTTGCTGCTTGGTCTTCTGATCAGAGTTTCCAGGGACTGGCAAGGCTTAATCTTAAATCCATGGAGGGGCCGAGGTTACTATCCTGGGTCAGTGATGGTCACTAGCCAGGGAGTTAGGTGAGGGTCCTTAGAGATGAAAGAGGCCCATTGAGCTGAATGAGGTCTGGATTCTGGTTGTGAATTCTGTTTCTACTACTTTCAATGGCCCTGGTCCCCTCCTGCAGGTCATTTTTAAAAGCTAAGCCCAAAGTATCTGAGTGGCTTGGATAAGGTGGCTACTGTGAATATGCCCTCAAGATAGCACTCATGAGTGTGAGATTCTCTGCACTTCAGAAGCCTCTACAACCAGGTGCTATTATGCTTTAAAACACACTAATATAAGAGACTATGATTTCCTAATCAGTTTCATGGGTTATTTCTCTATTCTTTCAGCTACAATGTTTTTTCATGTCATAATATAATGTGGGTAAAAAATACTTGCAACATCAAGTTGATTAAACCAAAATAAAACTAAACAAAGAAAATTCCAAATAAAGGAAGATTAAAAATGCCAAACAGCAGACTTAATTGCATTTTTGAGTTATCTTTCTTTACTCCAATGTCAAGGAAGAATACTTCAGGGGGCTATTTAGGGATAATACTTGAATATACAAATACTCTCTTTGGATTTACTTCTATGTTTACAAAAAATTTCTCAGGTGTCTTGAGGCAGCTACCTCTTCTCATAAGCCACTAACTCCTATGTTCACCTCATTTCCCTCCAGGCCAGAACTTTGAGACCTCTGTCTACCATCTTGGCTTTTCTCTAAATTTCCTCTTTTAGTGCCAAAAAGAAAAAAAAAAGGTTCTGGATTGCAAGTTCCCTTTATCAACTTAGCCAGCTTTTTTCTTTCTTGAGATACATGGGATATGAAGCATCTTGCCTCCTTGATGTTATAATAATGCAGTGATTTCAACTTATACAGCTGACCTTAGCTTTTCTTTGAGATACCAGGTTAAAAGTGGGCAGATTTTATAAATAGGCCAGTCTTCCTAATGGAAGTTTGAATGTATCTCCAAGATACCAGTTCATTATGACTTAATTCTCGATTTTGTTATTGATTTATTAAAAAGATGCATAACAAGTATCTTTTAAATATCAAGCTCTAAAGTAAGTTTTCTCCTCTGAACTCCAACTCACACATATAACTATTTTCTGAAATGGTTTAATTCTGCTCTGAAAGAACCCACAGCAGTAGGAATAATAGGTTTAGCCTCAAGATTTCTGCTGAAGAGCAGAAAAGAGGCTTCTACCTTTCATGGCCCATGGTCTGACTTTTACCCAAGCCTACTTCAATTTTTAAATTTCCTAGATGGTCATTTTGAAGGTCAATCATTGGTTCACTTTCACAATGGAGAAGAATAGTTGCCGCAACATACAGAATTGTTTATCTTGCCCCCATTCCCCTCACATAAGATCTTCAATGGTTCCCCCACTTTATCATAACTTTGTTATTATCAAAATAACAACACAAATAGAAAATATATTGTCTTTTTAACTTTCACTTTTATTAACTTGCCATTCATAGACGTTTGTTTAAATACTCTCTCTTCTCTCATCCTTCATTCATCATAAGAAGCATGCCCTCTACAAAAGATTCCCAAAATATTCTTGGTGGAAATAAAATCTTTGACAATTCTGGATGTTATTGCATCTATAGTCTTGATCTCTCCAATTTCTTACAATTGTAGTCTTTTTCTGTTTTTCCTTTTGTTGTGTCTATTGAATAAAATTGGAAGCTTCTCAAATGTAGTGCATGCATAAAGTAAACATGTTGTTCATTCTTTCATTTATTCACTTTTTCATTCATGCATTCATTCACCCATAAAACATTTATTCAACACCTACTTGCACCAGACACCAGGCTAAATACTGGGGATAAGGAAGTCTACAAGACTCACAAGTTTCTTGACTTTCAGGAACTTATATTCTGGCAGGACAAGAAGGGAGAGGCACATCATAACAAGTAAATGTAAATAAACTAACAAGTTACTTACAACCTATGGTGAGTGAGATGAAGGACATTTTTAAAAAATAGGATGATGAAATTAGGAGAAAAAGAAGTAGGAAACTTCAGACAGCTATAGTCAGCTGTAGTCAGAGAAAACAGCTGTAGTCAGAGAAGTCCCTACTGAGGAAATGATATTTGAGCCAAGACCCAAAAGATGAGAATGAGTCTTCCACACAAAAAGCTAGGGAGAAGCACCCCAGGAAGAGAAATCTTTGAGGAACAGAATAGAAACCAGTATGATGAAGTCATGAAGTGAGTGAGGGGAATATCAGGAGGTGGAAGACAAATCATACATGGTCCCATGACCAGAAAAAAAAAAAAAGTGAATATTATTTCTTAAAGCAAGTTCTCAAGATTTTCTAATTCATTGTTTAATGAAGTAATATGCAAATGTATCTACAGATCCTATATACTTGGTCCAGTTAAGACAGTGTCCCAAAGTTTAGCAGTAGGGGCTTTTACCTTCTAAGCTGTTAGTCCTGAGTCTTTTCAGCATCAAACATTTGAGACTGGATGATGTCACTTTAAGCCATTCTTGTACAAGTTCTAAGCAGCCCAACACCATCATGAATGGTACCCATTGCCCCACCCCAATGCATTAGGCCAGAATAACTGGCCAGCACAGCTAGAAACTCTAAGGAACTTCCAAAGCCTTTTCTCCTTTCTGATCACGTGAGAAGGCATTTAGTCCTATGGTTCTGTGAATTTCTCACGTTTCTCTTAAATTCACCTTTTTGAGATATTCTAAACTCTGGTGGGCTTTCTAAAAGATCATACCAAAAATTACCATTTTGAGGCCATTCTACAACAAAAGTGAAAAACGACTTGGACCCAAGAATCATGTCTTTTAAAAATTTCCAGCTCCACCACTGTTACCTATTATTTGCTGTTCTTCCAAGCATGATATAAGCAAACCACAAAAAAAGCTTTTGTTAGGAATCAATTTAATAGCTGAAAGGTTAATCTTAAAAAAGAAAAAAAAAAGGCAGGGAAGGGAGACACATCAAAGAACTTATGTATTGCAACTGGCATAGGAATCACAGCGAGCTGTGAATTTGGAGAGAGTAACATCAGAAACACCAACAAAGAGTTACATGTTTACAGGAAGAAATGAGTTGCAGAGGGAGTATAAGACACTATGGCCCCATTTTACATAGGAATCCAGTAACCATTTGTAAAATATATATATATATATATGTATACACATATTTTTAAGAGGCAGCATGTAAACTATGCTTGTGGTGCAGTTTGAAAATGAGAATTTTTTAAAGTAAAATTCTTGAAAATATTCTTTTTAACCACACCATTCAAAGCTTCAGTGAATATTTGATTCAGGCCCCAAACACTGTATGTTGCCAGTTTTTCTCAGCTTAAACTCTAGTGCCAAGCTGATTTTAACAACCTCTACCTTTATAAGCAGCCTTTTCATGTATATTTACTTGAAAATGGCATCTCAGCCTCTTGTCACCTCATGTTCTCTTCCAGACCATTCACCCAGGTCAGTTTCCTGGCAGGTCCCCAACAAGCAGTTGGGGGTTCTTCGTAGACCGAGCTTGGAGTAATTATGCTCTATAATTGTGGAGTCAGGGCCTGTCTCCCAGTCAGGATTAGAAATGCCAAGTCATTTCCTGTTTTCAAATCCAAAAGAAAGATAGTGACGTCTGATACTGGTTTTCCTATGTTTCAATTATTGTGGGGCAGCCTGGAACTGCCTTTGAAGGATTCTCTTTAGAATACCTGGGTCCCAAACATGGTGCTGTACCAACACCAGAGAATACAGAACATCATCCTAGCTATCTTATTTGATAATTCTTCAGGCTATTTCACCCAAATTGTGGCAATCTGGGTCATGCGGTATCAGAAATGTCATCTGGGGATGAACTACTTCTTGGGTGCTTTGTAGAAACAGGAGGTATATGCAGTAAAATGGGGGTGAAAGACGTTTGGCACATGTTAAAGGGTAAAGCACCTTCTTTTTAATTGTACAGATCCTTGTATTTTACAGCACATTAAACTTTAAAAGGAAAGGTAGCAAAATTGAGCATCTGTTTTTTTCTCATATAAATTCAACTCCTAATAAATACTAAGCAGAGTTTCCTTAGACCCAGTTGTGCGCAGATAAGCAGTTCCATACACACACAACTAATTGCAGCACTCTCTAAAGCTCACTCGACTGTCTTTTTTATTTCTCTGCCAGTGA
The DNA here is from genome assembly GCF_000001405.40 of Homo sapiens. Classification (NCBI taxonomy): domain Eukaryota; kingdom Metazoa; phylum Chordata; class Mammalia; order Primates; family Hominidae; genus Homo; species Homo sapiens. Next base: position 169,233,666 of record NC_000003.12, read on the forward strand.
AACCAGCTTTTAGCAATTGGGTTTTGGGAAAGATGACATCCCAAAAAAGAACCATAGCCAAAATAAACAGGGTTAAGATGGAGAATACTACTAAAATTATTACTGTTTATTCCATACTACAGTACTTTCCATTGTAAAGAGCATGCTGCACCTAAATTCGTCACAGTAACATGATTTTCATGCTGGAAATGAACCTGTGCATGTCTCCCAATTTCCTGACTATGGAGGAGTAAAATATATGTTGCTGCTTATCAGTTTTTTAAATGAATTACCTTTCCATAACCACTTATTTTACTTGAAAGTGACACAAAGTCTATAACATAGTAGATACGGTTACAATATGCCTGTTACATTTTATAGTGACAGCTGTATAACTTTTAAAAAGTGAAATGTAAATGTGTCCCTTCAGGTCAACTTCTTATAGAAATGTTTATGGTATAATTTTATTCAAAGAGAAATATGAGACAGATTTTTTGGAGTGGACACACAATTCCTACCATGGAAAGAATAGAAACAGACCTGAAAAGGCTGAAAAGGTGAGTTTCTGCCCACCCCCACAGAGGTACTCTGTGCCATTCAAGCGATGACCACTGAGAACGATAGCAAGGGTCAGTTGGCCCCTTTCTCTGGTGCTTTCTTTGATTGAAAAAAATCAGTATTTTAGGTTCTATCAAGATTCTTCAGTACTTTTAAGTTAAGCAGATTGAATTGAACCATCCATTTAGTCAATTATGTCATTGAGCAAATGATGGAAAGAGAAAGAAGACTAGAGATAAGGGAGACATATAAAAGCAATTTAAAAAAAGGGAAGAAAAGGGAAATAAAAGAAAAAAGAAAGAAGGGAAAAAAGAAAAAGGAAAGGAATAGCCATGTATTATAGATTTTTAGCTGATTTAAAAAAAATCTGGTAAACTTACTAAAGAGCCTTCAATAATTTGAGATGGCTAGAGTGATGTGTTTGTGTGCAAATCATTTATTTGCTATTGTGTAAGTTAAAACAGTAGCCCAGCTTCCACTTCTCTTTTGTCATTGGCTGTTATTCCTGGCCATATATTTTACATGTCAACCTGCTCACCATATGTGTACATACTTATGCTTTCTTTGCCACTAATTGCTTCTTTTTTTGACAATACCATCTATATGTGCATAGTATATTGCTGTTTTTATCACTCTAAGCCTATTAATGCCCAGACTTATGGTTCCCAGAGGAATTAAAATTAACCAGCTCTCTAAATATTGTTCATGAGTTGGAAAACTCCTGTATTTTAGAATCTCACTTCAGTTGTTTTTAATTGGTTTGCAATATTTCACCCTTCAGGGCTTGCCCTTAGCTTTTCAAAGTATATATTTGAAAAAATTTATGGGCGTGATATGAAAGGCAAAACTTAGGAAAAATAAACACTTCTTTTGGACAACGACAGTGCTTACGCTATGATTTAAAAGTCCAATTTTATAGTTTGGTAGAGACTAAACTCTTATTGACTTGCCACTGACTTCTATTATCATCAATGTGATTTTTACTTGTAAATAAACCATTCTAATGTGCTCTATGAGAAAAAAAGCACAGGACTCTACATAAAAGCAAATTCTCTTTTGTTGAATTCCTCTTTTTAGAGCTGGAGATCCCTAACCTATCATTCATTTTTTTTTAGTTTGTCATGAAATGTTGCTGTTTATTTCTAGAATATGGAAAGAGACTTCCTTTAAATGCTTGGCTTTTGAAGAATGGTCACTTTGTATGATCCATAAAGCAAATCACTGACAAAATGTCCCTAAGTCCCAAAGAACCATTTATTGTTAATGACAAATGCACATGCATACACACACACACCTCTCACATATGAAAACGTGTTTACTATTCCTGAAAAATAAAAAAGGAGGAATAAATAATAAAAAAGTAAAATTTTTGAGGAATGAAAAATAACCAAATAAATGATATTTCTTATTCTTTAAAATTAAAGTGATAGACTCTATGGATAAATGAAAACATATCTAAATTAGAACTACAGACTTCCCTGTTTCTCTGTTACTAGGGCAGAGGAAAAAGTAATTTTCTTCGCACACACAAAAAAGATAACATAATAGCAATAATATCATATTTATGTAAAACAAGGATCGCTTATGTTTTCATTCTCTTAGTTCCCCAAATGACAAATAATTACTATCTCCCAAATCATAGGTCCTGGAATCAAACCATTTTGCTTAAAAAAAAAAAAAAAGGGACAGACGCTCCTTGACTTATATGATTCAACTTACAACCTTTTTTTTTACTTTATAATGGTCCAGAAAGACACGCATTCAGTAGAAACTGGATTTTTTTGAATTCTGATCTTTTGCTGGGCTAGCTATATGTGGTACAGGGCAGCACCAGCCAGCCACAGCCTCCAGTCAGCCACATGATCACAAGGGCACTGATGGTCTATAGTGTACTGTGTTGCCAGATGATTTTGTCCAACTGCAGGCAAATGTAAGTGTCCTGAGCACATTTAAGGTAGGTTAGGCTAAGCTAGGATATTCAGTAGGTTTGGTGCAGTAAATGCATTTTTTATTTATGCTTTCAACTTATAAAGGGCTTATTGGAACATAAACCCATCTTAAGTGGAGAAGCATCTGTACTATCCAGCACATAAAACTTGGAAAGGATGCCCCCACCATGATATTTCAAAAAGCAACTCTTTCTCATAAGTAAACTTTCTCTTCGAGTGTTGCAATAGAAGTAACTAAAAATGACGTGGTTTTTAATTAATATTTGCTAAACATGAGTAAATGAATACATAAATGAATAAGGGGAGACATAAAACCAGATAGGGTATCAATGTGAAGTCTGTAAGAGAAAAAATCTATTCTCTAATTTTTAAGTAAGTTTTTAACACCTCACATGATCTGCCATGTGTATATTGTGTATATTTCATGCATCTGACAAAAAGAAAAGCCTAGTTAGGATTTCCCAAATTTGGATGTTTTGTATACACCTCGAAGAGCCGTCATCAAAAAAGGGTCACCCTGATTAATGATAATCAATGAATGAAAAGACTCTTTGACTGTATGTAATAGATGCTTTTCTCTGTGAATAAGTAACATATATTTATACAATAACAAGTGGCACGTTATTATTAATTGTGAATTCCAAGGTTAAGAACCTTTGACTTTGTGTGCATGACTATTGAGACACTTCAACGTGCTCAGACATTCAACAAACTCACCACTTGCTTTCATCTGTACTGAGTCTGTCACTTGACTTTTGACCTTTCATTTGGCACTGTCCTGTCATTTCTTTGGTTTCACAAATTTTAGCTTCTTACTTGACCTCTCAACTGTGACCTTTCACTTGACCTATGATCTCATAAATTCTGAAATCTCATACATGTAATCGAGAAACAAATAAACAAAACATCTGGATGAAGCTCTTCCTGAATTAAGTCTGAGTAGATGAAACATAGAACCAAAGGCTTCAGTAAGTAATGTAATATCCACTAGGATAATATGTAAATAGTAGAAAATAAATTTTTTGGGATTGACTAAGATACGGCAAATTATCAAAAGACTCAGCATTAGCTTCTATGAAAATATTTCTTTGGTCACATTAAAAATAACAATATACTAAGTTAGTCTGGTTAAAAATGAAACATCTTCAATGTAATACTGAAATGTAAAATCTTATCCTCAAGCATGAGAGTCAGAACTCTTGTCTGAATAAGTACCAAAGGATTTCACTCAGATAAAGATTGTGTAACTCACTATAGTATTCAATATAAAATTGTTATTTTAAGAGCTAACTGACCACCCTTAGTCACTCATTCTCCACTACAGTTTTATTATTTTTATAGAACTTGTCCCCGTATGAAATAATCTTCCTTTATTGATGTGCTGTCCCTCCCTACTAGAATGCATGCTTCATGAGGGCGACACATATTTCTGCTGTGCTAACTGCAATGTCTCCATCACAAAAAAAAAAAAAAAAAAAAAAAAATGTGGCACTTACTGTTGTTAAATGAACATATTTGTTGACTGAATAAAAGAATGACTATGCTTCCCAAAAATCACTGCATACCTGAACACCAGAGCAAAAATCTAAAGTAAATATACTAGCTAACTTTAAAGTTATATAGTTCACCCATTTTTTAGAAGTCCCATACTATTTAACCATTTAAAATTTATCCTGGATTTTTCTATATTGGTACTTAACTTCACAAATTTTCTTACTCTTTACTATTAAGAAATTATTTTTGGTGCAGGCAGGTTGGCTCACACCTGTAATCCCAGCAATTTGGGAAGTCCAGGCAGGTGGATCACGAGGTAAGGAGTTCAAGACCAGCCTGGCCAGCATGGTGAAACTCCATCTCTACTAAAACTACAAAAATTAGCTGGGTGTGGTGGTAGGTGCCTGTAATTCCAGCTAGTCTGGAGGCTGAGGCAGGAGAATCGCTTGAACCCAGGGGGCAAAGGTTGGAGTGAGCTGAGATCATGCCACTGCACTCCAGCCTGGGTGATGGAGCTAGACTCCATCTCAAAAAAAAAAAAAAAAGAAAAAAGAAAAAAGAAATTATTTTTTCTGACAAAATCAAAGACATCCTCAAAAACTCTCAGATTAACAAATGTTGATAATTAGCCCACAAATGCCAGCTGTAGCATGATTTAAGTCAAACCTCATGCTAATTTGAATATAGTCATGTTTCTTTCAGTAGATGTATGAACTCATATACTAGGAAACTGGTTTAAATTCACAGGAACATGCGAAGAGTTACTGAAACATGAGAGAGCATCAAGTTTGATGTTTTGCTACCTGAAATGACCACAGCAATTTTACTCTTAGGCATAGGCAAGCTAAAATTTACAAGCCCTTCAGATTAATGTAAGGAAGACTCAAACAGGAACCATAAAACCAAACCAAAAAAACCCCACGAACAAACCATTGAATAAAATTATTACTAAATAAAACAATTTGGAGGCAATATCTTCCAAAGGTTTAGCTAAAATATCCCCTGGACTCTCTTATAAAAGTTTGCATAAGGCATAAAGCTGATTCAGATAAACAAATCTGATTAGAAAGTCCACTTTCTCTTAAGATCTCTTATAGAATTCAACTAAGGAAATTTCAGTTTGAATATTAAATTAAAAGTGAGTTTTCACTTTCAAAATGGTGGTAGAAAAACCACTATGAATATATACATCCACTATTTAGTCAGTTAACAAAAGATTATAAACTAACTTACACAAAATATGTATTATGATTAATCCTATAAAATGCTAATACCAATAAACCTAGAATGTCTCATACTTATTTAAATCTTACCTGAATGTATCACATCTTCATCATAATGAGAATCGATAATAATAGATTAACACTATATATTTTTTGAAATGCAGAATAATTCTTGCTTTTTATGGGTTCCAAAATACTTAAAGATATGTTACATGTGAACTGCTATAAAAGTAAATTTTAAATTAATCACAAAACCCTAATTTTCTGACGTCCTCAAGCAAAGTTGAGTAAATTGTTCAGTTTGGCTAAAGCTTGAGGTTCTTTCTTGTTTAATCCTTTTTTCTTAAAGGTAATCAAAATAGTCAGATATGGTACAAATCATTTTGTTGGAGGAGAATTATGCTTGTGGTTTATTTAAATAATGTAATACCAATAAGGAGAACTTTAAAGAATATTAGAGTATTTGAAATATATGGAGAAATAAAAATGGCAACAAAAATATAAAAGAAAATTAAATACAGGAATTATTTTGTAGATACCACTGATATATTGGACATACTAACAATATAATATATTAAGAATAAAATCTAAGTAATAGCTATCAAAAAGAAATGGCTTGAAAAGTTCACATCAAGGGAAACCTATTAACTATTTAGAAATATAAGTTAAAATATATTATAATTGAGATTCAAATAAAAAGTTCTAGACTTCCAGATGAAAATAATATGAGAACTTAAAAAGATATTTATTTTGGGGGGTGTCCTAATAAATAAACTAGCAAGCTTACCATTTCTGTGTCATATCCTACATTAATCTATTAATGTAATCCAAGAAATTGTATTTTTTTCTAAATAAGTAAAGAATAGAAACCTCAGTTACATTTTAAAAATTACAAGGAAATTAGTAACAGAAACAGTTGTAGATGCTGTAAAAAGCAATATGGAAACTTTGAGGCGAAATAGGACAGAGTACCTAATTCCATTGTGTTGATATAACAAAGCCCAGACTTAAAAATAAAAGGTTTGCTGGCTTTACTTATGCTTTAGTTGTAGAAGCTTTTTACTACAAGAATTCAACTGCTGAAGTTCATTTCCTGTCTTTAATTCTAAACGAGCAATTTGCTGATAATTTCCTGTCTACATTTTCATAAAGTAGAAAGAACATGACTGGTTAAGCTAAATGTTTCAATAACCAAATAAACTTCAGCAAGTGTAGTTTAGGAAATTCGACAACTATCTAGAAACTGGTTTTATGATTATAGAATGTCTGAATACCATCTATCTCCCCCAAATGTTTGAAAATATTCTGAAGACCTTTGTGATTGCTTCTTTGACCCCCAGACAAATACAGCACCATTGCTTTGCCTCAGTGGCCCCAGAGCAATTAAAGTCAAAAGAGTATGAATCCCCTGAACTCTGAGCTGTTCCAGCATAGATGAGGAAGAAATGACCTCTAGCTGGGTTTCAGCCTCATTCCCCAACCCCCACCCTAAATCTTCATGCCTAAACCAAAATTCATTTGATGGAACTTTTTATAGACTGTGTTTTTGAATTCATGATTATCAGCATTTGGGGTTGAAATTAAAATAGGACATCACTAAAAGGGACTCGTCTAAAATCTAAATTAAGTTGTCAATTAAGGATGAAGAATGGCTTGTTATTATTGCCTTAAAATGATGTGTCCTCTTTGTCCTGTTGAGATCCCAAACATCTTCCATCTGAAATCTATTATAACTTCTGCAGAAGAGAATCTTAGGAAGTATACAGTTTCCTAAGTCTCAGAACTTAGGTCATGAAGGCTCAAAGAGGGGATGATCCATAAAGTCATGAAATGGGACAACTAAAAAACAAATGCCATTTTGTGCCTCTACCTGCCTCTAGATGCCAGCCAGTGGTAGAAAAGGAGTCAGATACTAATTATGAGGAGAGATTTTATTAGACAGATTTAAGGGGAACAGATGAGCCCAAATCCCCCTTTTTATTATCTACTGTACACTTAGCTAATGCTTTCTCCTGTGAGAAAGGCTTAAACAGTAAGCACAAACAGCACAATGAAATTGTAATGCCCTCTCCGTGTGGACCTGGATTATTTCAGCCACCAGCAATGTGAGTAGCTGCAGGTGTTGCACTAAATAAAGTAATATAAAGTGTCTACATTGCAACAGTGGAAGTACTGTTTCAAGACCCTTGTCTGCTTTTTATTAATAGTCAGATTCCTTCCTATCAGCAGCCACAACTACCTTTACCCTATTATTAAGCAACAATATTTTGATAGGCAAAGATCTATTAAAAATCACTGTTGATATTTTGTGACCATAGTCATTTTGGAGTTGAATAAGCGTTCAATCTTCTCACAGAAGGGGAGAACGTAAATTTGTGATTCAGGAAAAGAGGAAACCAGGGGTTACAAAGGTGGAGAGGCCAAGCAGAATGAAACAGACCCCCTCCATCAAGTAAAAAACTTGGCAGGATAACTAGAAACAGACCAACCCTAAATCTTAGGGTTCATGAGCTCTTAGAAACATAATTAACTGAAATAAAACTAATATTCCAGTGTTAAATTTCACCTTAACATACATCAGCAGTTACAATAACACCAGGTATAAAGAGAATCCGAAACTATTCATTTTGTTTATGGAATGTACCTTAAGCTAGGGGGAAACATTCCTTCACACATTAGTGTAATTTCTAAAATGGAGAAAAATTATCTACACAAAAAGAACTGTCAAGTTTACCTTACTCTATCAAGAAGCATTACTTTTGGGGAAAGTGTACTGATCACTTATTTGAAATTTCTTGTAATTATACAGAGCACCAGATTTCCAAAGCATTTGTTCTTGAGAAAGGAACCACTAATACCCAGGAAAGAAATGTTGAACAGGAAATGTTTGACCAATGTTGCATCACAAGATATCAAAAGAATTTCACTTTGGCTACTTCAGCGAATCAAGTCAGGACATTTTTAATTTTCTTTATAGTCTTTAAGCTTCTACAAAATAAGGTTTCCAAAAAATTGGTGATATTAAAATTTTTCTAGAAGTTTTGATACATGAAATAAAGTAAAAATCTTCTCCTAGAATGAAATGTAAAAAGTATTAGTGCTGAGAGTAGATAAACAACATTAGTGATCTGTGAATAGCATTCAGGAAATTCCATCTATCTGATGATCTGTCGGCTAACTGAGCAGTGTTTCATATGTCACCAGCTAACTAAAGCTCCCCATTGTGTTTATAGATTTCTTTTAAAGGCACTTTTAATGCCGTTTTACACATTAGGAGATAGTTAATTTAGAAGTAAATGGTAGACCACGAGAGGAGCCTTCTTCTTTTTCTTCTTTTTAAATTGATGTCCATTTGCATCTCAGCACAGCAACTCCACAAATTCCTGACTCTCAATCCTGAGAGTCCTGTCACAGGACTGCCTGCGGCAATCAGTCCTGGTTTCTTTTTGAACAAGCTTTCTTTTAACACTTAAATCCAGGGATGATTTAACAGAAAGTGTCTCAAGTCTATGAGCTACAGCCCCCTTAGACTCTACCCAAACAAAGCTACTAATGTGTGGTCAGTTTCTTGGCAACTCCACTCTCCGCTGATAACGCTCCTGCCTGCTATTCTCCAAGGAGCCGGCTGCTGGAAGACTGCTCCGAACCTCATCCCCTTGGTGCTCCTGATGCGGGCGATCCTCCGACTGCTCGGCGCCAACCACAACATGCTACCCACCGTGAGAGAGCAGGACGCGGGCTGCTCTAGTCAGGACTTATCGTCTATCATACTGATTGACGAAACCAAGAGTGAGCAGAAAAAATAAACACGAACAGAGGCTGCAGTGTATGGGCCAGTCAGCTGGGAGTTTTAGTATTTGGCCTTGGTGATCCTACTCTCATGGTAGGTTATCTTTTCCTTGTGCTATCATTTATCATAACTTTGAGGGCCAGGGAGAGAAACAAACCTACAATTTTTCTATTGGTTACATTCATTAGACTGCTTGCTTTTTTTTTTTTTTCTTTTCCTTAGCACTCCTTCCTTTGCCCCCTATAATAATCCCGTCCCCTCACATAGTATTCCCTTAAGAATGGTGAAATTAAATCTAAATATAGCTCTCCCCTTTTACTCCTATTCCAGCATAGATCATTGCAAGTAATTAACCTTTGTTATTCCATCAAATCTAGAATGCAAACCTACATGCTAATTTACTTAAGTCAGACTCAATAATAAATCTGCGTCTATAGCAGCTAAACTCAATGAAGATCCTGGATGTTGTTCAGTTATTTGGATTACTAACATCTTCTTTTTGAATAATGGCACTTGACTTTTTCAGGCACAAACCATGTTTTGTATTGGTCTTGACAGCCACTATAAAGTACTCCCCCAAGTGTCAGTAACAAAGATGATTTGTATGTGGCTTGCAGTCTTCCAGTGTTCTAATAGCTTTCTCATTCCAACCCAGAAACATGGAACACAGGGCAGCTGGTTAAAGCTGATACAAGCATTTCTTCTCTCAGCAGGCTATTCTTGCATAACCATTTATTTTGCAGAGTTTTAAAGTGCCTGAAGGATTTAATTATGTACATAGACAACCCCTATAAACTCTATTCTAGGGTTTTTATTGACTTTTGTGCTGGGCAGCTCTTAGGCATTTCAATTAAGTGTTTTTATAAGAAAAACGACAATATTGTTAAAAAAAATTCTTTATAGATACTTCCAAACAGGTTTTTTCCCCCGTCTGATTGAATAAACTATTTAATTGACCAAAAAAATCCAGGTTAATTCAAAGTTTGGTTTTTCCACTTTGGAAAAAATAGAGCGTTTGAGTCCCAGACAGGTTTGTGAAAATGAACCTGCCAATATCAGTGAAAGAATGGGCAGAGGGAGAACAGGATTACTTCGAAACATACTCTGAAACGTCACATGGCTACCTGTTACTCCGGAGTTTACTTAAACTCATGAGGGTAAAAACCTAAATGCAAAATTTTACATGTTCCACTAAACAAGTGCAGAATAATAAATTACCAAATTCATTTGGAGCACTCGCCTGACAGGCCTAACCCTCAAAAGTCTCCAGGAGACCCCAAAGCCCCCTTTGTCTGCCTTCTTCAATTGCAGGGCTCAAGTATTTACAAGGCTTCTGCAAACCTGCCTTCATTATGATGTGGGATATTTCAGTCCCAGCAGGTGGCCAACAGGAGACCAGACCTGCCCGTGAAATATGTAATACTTTTTCATATACTTTAACCAGAAATGTGCCCCTCCACAACTCTCCTAACTGTTCTAATTTCCCTTTCTCCTCTTAATCTCCTCAGAAAGCCATGAGCTTGCATTAAAATCTACCTAAAACATTTCACCCACAGGCAATGTAATTCTGAAACAAGCAACCAACATTTCACAGCTCTGGAGTAATAGATTAATTTGAACCTAATGTTGCCGTCGTTTACTGCTGCAAATGTTCTGGTGTAGACATAGCCCCGAGGCATGGTGCTGTGGCATGCACAAGTTTGGGAGCCGGAGCTACAGTTGGCTTAACATCTGTGCATCACATTTGCCATGTGCCTCATTATCCTGCACCCCACTGTGCCTACCTGTCCCCCTCAGCTTCTCAGCCACAGGCGATCTAATTTTTTTCCCCTCCAACTAAGAATCTTTGTTCTCCTTCTCACTTACTAAATTTTTGAGAGACCTCTGCACCCAAGCTGTGGGGATTCGGTCCATGTGAACAGCCCAGACCCTTTAGATTCTTAATTCTCCATTAGGAAGAGGAAAATTACAGCATTAAGTTTCTGACATGCCACCGCATAAATTGTGCCATTTGCAGAACCTACCAGAGTCTGTGACTAAACCCAGAGGCGTGTACTAAAGCATGGTGTTGTTGGTTTTGACTTTAACAAGTTTGGTCGGCTTCAATTATCTGTAAGCAAAGAAATAGTAACTTCCAACTCCAGATTTCAGAGAGATCAACAAGTAAAATCTAGTCACAGAAAGAGAAGATTGCCACACCAAAAATTAAAGCCAAGTGTCTTAAACTATTTAAGGAGTTAGCATTTCAAAGCTTATTGACACAAACAGTTGATACATACAACAACCTCACTCCATCACACACAAAAAAACAAAAACAAACAACAGCAAAAAAACGAAGGCTTTAAAAATAGATATAGTAACCAGGCCAAGCAGCTGCTTAAATTTTAATCCTGTTTTAACAATAAAAGAATCATATGACTCCTTTATTGGTTTTCCTTTGGAAGTGTTCTGGGTGCCCATTTATGGAGAGACAGAATGAAGATTTAGCCCTACCCAAACAATTTGAAATATGCAAAACATAAATAGTATTTGTTGTTATCATTATAAAGGGGAAATATAATATTATTAATAGAAGTATCAATAATGAAATATGCGAAAAACAACAGAACAGCCACGCTAGGGTTAAATGTTGAAAAGCCACCATCCTTGCCACAAGATAGAAGAAAAATTCAAACCAGAGACATTAGCTTTAAAAAAGCCAAAGCTTTGAATAAAGAAATTTAAAAACATTATCTTCATATTATATTTGACAAGCTGGATTTAGACATAGTCAACACATTAAAAAGGTGGCTTAGTGCTTTTCAATTGTTTACTAGTGTGCTAGCAAAGTACTTTACTGTGGGTGGTAGAAAATTAATTAGTTTTAAATAATCATTTTTATAGAACTAATAATTTTTTTAAAAAATTCATCAGATTCAAACAATTTCTACAACCTATCACTCAGACTTTTAGACCCTAGTGGAGAACAAAACTGAGAGGTCTTAGGAGAGAATGTTTCTAATGCCCTCTCCAAGTAAAAATATGCTCTGTTATAGAAATAGTATTGGATTTCCACACTTCCCTACATAATCCTCAAATTCTACGCAGTACAGAGCATTGAGTCTTGCACATTTCATTATATGCTTGAATTAATTTACCCTATATGGAATGTGTTACCTTTACAATAAAAAAGTCGCTATTCATTACTGAGAGTGGACAGATGGAACATGTTCAACTTAAGACATCAATAAGAAGAGAGGGAAAAACTTATAATCTATGTGGCACAGCCTCCTCCATCTGGTAGTTCCCAGCTTGTCTGCCAAGCCTTTTTTTTCCAAATAAAAGTGAGCATTTCTCTTTAGAGTTAATGGGACATTCTTAGATATTGACCCTGATTCTGATTTACAGATATTAAGCAACCATGCAATTAAAATATGATGTTTTCCAAAGGTAATCCATATCATAGGGGAATATTTGAGCCTAATTAGAAAACAAAAATTAGAACTACTATAATAATATTATGATAATACTAAAAGCATTATCAGATAAACAAAACAGTGTTTGATAGATTATGAAGGCAATTGAACAAGTTATTTTATTCTCTTAAAAAACACACTGTAAGCTGCATAAATACAACATTGGGTCAGTAAGGTGGCTGGCAATCTCTAGCAGGAAGACTATATTTGCACATCCTTCCCAAGCCCTTATCTAGCAGATGACACCTGCCTGATGTGTCACTAGGTACATCCCAAACCACAACTATCATGAGATCACTTTGCTAAGATGCAGTACACAAGACTATCAGGCTTTGAAATAAGTTAAATCTTATCATATCTTGATAAAAGTTAATTAGATTATCTCATCTATCAACTGAAACAGTACACATACACTTTTTTTTTTTTTTTTTTTGAGACGGAGTCTCACTATGTCACCCAGGCTGGAGTGCGGTGGCACGATCTCAGCTCACTGCAACCTCTGCCTCCCAGGTTCAAGCTATTCTCCTGCCTCCGAGTAGCTGGCACTACAGGCGCGTGCCACCATGCCCAGCTAATTTTTGTATTTTTAGTAGAGACAGGGTTTTACTCTGTTGTCCAGGCTGGTCTGGAACTCCTGACCTCATGATCCGCCCGCCTTGGCCTCCCAAAGTGCTGGATTACAGGTGTGAGCCACTGCGCCTGGCCCACATACAGTTTTTATGTATTTACCTCTCCTCTCATGTATTTGTTCCTTATGTCTGCTGTTCTTTGCTTTAAGCAATATCATTCTATGAAAGACAATGGATTGGGTCTTTATTTGTGTGCCAGCTCCAGGGCCTATGAATAATATTATGAAACATACACCCAATTCTCTGGCAATAGCCTATTATTTAAAGAGATTTTTTTAAGGTATAGACCATTTTTACATATTAGTAAAATATATAATATTATACCATCACAACATATTGGTAAATAACAATTACAACCGTATCTTTATTATTAAACCTTCTGTGTTGCAAAAAACCTCTGAAACTTTTTGTATAACCCTATCATGGAAAAACTACTCACTGTATATAATAATTACTATCATTCAGTATTATTTAAAAACATGAATAAACCTATGAAAAATATAGAATAAAAAGAGATCCTTGTAAAGGAAAAACAAAAAAGCTAACCATCCACCTAATACTTTTTTTTTTCTTTTTTTTTGAGATGGAGTTTCACTCTTGTTGCCCAGGCTGGAGTGTAATGGCACGATATCAGCTCACCACAACCTCCACCTCCCGCGTTCAAGTGATTCTCCTGCTTCAGCCTCCTGAGCAGCTGGGATTACTGGCATGCGCCACCACCCTGGCTAATTTTGTATTTTTAGTAGAGACAGGGTTTCTCCATGTGGGTCAGGCTGGTCTTGAACTCCCGACCTCAGGTGATCTACCCGCCTCGGCCTCCCAAAGTGCTGGGATTACAGGCGTGAGCCACTGTACCAGGCCTCTAATACTTTTATTCAAGGATTAATAAAGCCTTTTAATGCAATGATGTAATTGCATTTCAAGTTTCTTGAAACAATTTCTAAAATTTATAGCAATTTAGACAATAACTATTTATTAAACACTCACTACATGCTTATCCCACAATCCCTAAAATGTGATGGATATGCTGTCATACTTTTGGCACTGAGAAATTTTCTAAAAAATACAATTTTATTGACATATATTTAAACAGAATCTTTGGACATTAAGACTGTCTGCACAAAAATTTCTCTAAATTACTTTGTTAAAAATGTGATAGAATTCAGTTAAACCTGAAATTTGGGTCAATATGATACCAACTAGCTGACTTTTGCCCAGTGAACCTACATAGCTGCTCCATTTCTTCATCTCTAAAATGAGAATTATCATAATACTTATGTCATAGATAGGTTGTGAAGATTAAATAAAATCATGTGTTTAAGTATTTAGGATAGCACCTGGCACAGGGTAAAAACAATATGTTAACTATTTTTATTATGTATGTATTTAGAAGTTTCAAGTAATTCTAAACTTGACAATATTATTAGAATTGCATTACAATTACTTGGGAAAATCACTCCAAACCAATTAATCTGAATCTATGAGGATAATTATAATGTGTAGCTAGAATTGAAAACCTGTGATGAAGATATAGAAATTCAGCAGATTGGTGGCCCCTAAATGATTTGTTTTCGCTACTTCCTTGTGTCCTCCTAAAGCAAAGCTCAACTCAGTGATTTGCAGATAGTAGATGCTTAATCATCAAATAAAATGGAAAACTGCTAAATCTACCTCTTAGTTTGTATTGCACAAATTCTTAGTCTAAGTCTCTATACATGGTATAACATGTTCAGGGATGCATTTCTAGGCACTGTTCTAGGAATACCCTTTTGTTGTCTGTCAATTTGACATCTCTCTATTCATCTCTTCTTTGAGTACTATTCTTTGGGTACTGTTATGGTACCCAAGATTATGTCCTCATATATTAAAGCCCTAACACCCAATGCCTGAGAATATGACCATATTTGGAGATAGGACCTACAAGTATTAGTTAAAATGAGCTGTTATCGTGGGCCATAATCTAATCTGATTAGCGTACTTCTAAGAAGAGAAATGTTGGAAACACAAAGAGACACCAGAGGCATGCATGCTCAGAGGAAAGATCATGTAAGTAGGGCATAGTAAGTAGGTAGAGATCTGCAAGCCAAGGAGAGAGGCCTCAGAAGAAACCAAGCCTGCCAATGCCTTGATCTTAGACTTCTGGGCCCCGGAATTGTAAGGAAATGTATTTCTGTTGCTTAAGTCACTCAGTCTGTGGTACTCTGTTGGGACAGCCCTAGTAAACTATTACAAGTACGTTCATCTCTCCATCCCATTTATAGGCAGGGTTCCAGGCTCTCAATCTCACCCAAATGCCCTACCTTCCAGCATACTCTACAGTATATTGTATTTATTTACATGTCTGATGGCCCACAAAACCGATTTCTTAGGCTAGGAATTATCTAATTTATCTTTGTCTAACCTAGCACCTATCATGTGCTTTGCGTGATTGTTGAACGAGTGGGCGAATGAATGAATGAACCAATAAACACCTAAATGGCTACCAAGTCAAATGAAGGAATAAATGGAAGGGAAGCTACCATAACTGAACCATTTCTGATTGCATCCAAATCATCCCTAGACTTGACATCTAGTGCCACAACCTAGTGCTGCTGATAAATATTCAAAGAAAAAGACAGAACAACACACAATTCTATGATTTCTGGACTGCTATCAACTAAACCTACAAATAGTGTTTGCCTAAGATCTGCAAATCTTCCTTGGCTCCCGGTCCAAGGCAGAGGTATTGTTACTCTAATTCAGGCCAGTTGCATCCTTTCCACTTTGAAGACTGCAAAAGTCTTGCTGAGAGTCGAGAAGTTAGCCTGATAGGGTAGCCAGCTTTTTAAAACATTGATCCTTAAAAAATCTGTTTTTAAATAAAATTTCGTGGTAATCAAATGTGATACAGTCTAGATTGCCTTGATATGGAATTATGGAATTGTTGATGAGCAATAACATTTTGGGCACAATGGCTTAGAACACAGTTTAAAGCCAAATAGAGTTCTAGCATGCCACCCCAGTATTATGGGCATTTTATAGTTACATCACTCATTCATGGTACAAAAATCCAAAAGGTGGCCCTCAGGGGTTACTGGTAATGAAACAACAGAGAATTAAGATGAACCAACCAATTTAAATTTCACACTCTCCTCTGCTATAATTGAAAGGAACCGAGGTTGCAGAAGCTGTTTCAGAATCTTTTTTAAATACAAGGAAACGTTGTGAGCAGACATCTCATTTTTATTGGTACTTACATTCTGCATATGATTAAGCACAAACTTGCAAAGAATTAACCACTCCACCAACCCAATGGATCCGTTCTCAAACTTGCAGGAGGCGGGAGTGTTTGAAAGGGAAATGGGGGCTGGCGACCTGAAGCCCACTCCCTTGGGTCAGTGCATGCTGGGAGGGGAAATGAGCTACAGAGCAGACAATTTTCAGCATCAGTGGTTTTACTTTCTTTACCAGGCCTCACGAAAACACACTGACAAAACAAAGGACACAAAATTAATGACCCATGCATTCTGTCAATTGACTCTTAGTAGCAGTGGCCAGTTCACCTTAATTTTTTTGTTCGCATTGAACATGTAGCCCAAGGCACTGGTTAAGGTTCACTTAAGAATTCTTCAAAGGCATCACTTGGTTTTCATTAATTTGTTAACTGTAACTTCTCCTTTCTGCTGAGGAACCCGCATACCAAGTGAAGACCTTTATGCAAAATGTAGAAACAAAAGGCATATGTTTGACCAACCAGCTTTTCTCTTGTTTCTCGAGCAATCATGTCTCACTCGTTAATATTAGAGAAAATTATACCCATCAGATTTTTCTAGCATGTAAAATATATTTAAACCTTCTCAGAAATTCAAATGTCAACTCTCCGTTATTGTAGGGGAATAAGTAACACTGTAGTTTATTATGTCTGTGAGTAATTATTTCCTAATTATTCCTGTGGTTGTTAACCATGATTTTTGATGAAATTCAATTTGAGTATGCATGAACTATGGCCAACTAACTGAAATTTAAGGATTAACAAAAAAGCAGTATGAATTCAAAAAAAGGTATAAATGGAAATTTGTATTTACATATCTGTACAAAGATTACACCACCCTTAAGATGATGGTAACTTTTTGCATTTAAGTTTTCTTTCACTTTCTGGCCAGCATTTTGAGAATAGAGTAAATGTTTCCACTTGTTCAAAACTCACAAAGAAGATTCATCTCTACGATAATTTTGGTAAATTTGCTAAAATGTTGAACAGGTTTTCAAGAATGCATAACTAATAAACACTGAAGCACCGATGGCAGTGTCTGAATTTTCTTCATCAAGTGTAAAACAAGAATACAGGATGAGGCAACAGTTGCTTTCAAGCCTCAGGAGAAGTTAGCAATTTTAACATTTCTATTCTTAAGAAAAGAGTATCAAGAAAGTTCTAAGAGTGAAGGAGTCTACTCTGGGGACATTTGGTAGTTTTTAGCAAAGGAAATGGATCCCATGAAGCAAATGTATCATTCCTTTCTATAAACTTCTCAAACAGTTATAAAATATGATAGCAATGCTTGGTTGGTACAAGTTTGAGTTAGTTGGATCTGTCAGCATTTCCATTACAAATCCTTGATTTTCAAGGTTTTATAGTTCAGCTGTGAAAAGTTTCTTTAGAAAGAAAGTTGGCAAGGTGGTCTTTGCTAGGGGGTTTATCAAATTGAACAAATCTTTGTTTAGTTATCTCTCAGTTCTGTGAGCCGAAGTCTACTCCCAGCTAGACATGCCAAACTTCCAGCGACTTGAATGCCAGAGACAGGCTTTTTCTCTCTTTAAATTCACACCACAAGAGCTTCTCTTATTCTTGATTCAGAAGCCGCCAGGACCCAGCTCATATCCTGTGTAACCCAGTGGGAGAGGAGCCACATCATATGTAACCCTGTAGGACATATGAATTCAGTCTTGGCCAAGTGTCTCCAGCATGAAATGTGGACCGCACTACAGAGAGACTTGGAACTTTGGAATATGTGTATAATTAAAATGTAGGCACATCACACTACTGCTTGCAAAGTGAAGTGGTGTTCATTTATTAAAAGCCCCGTCGACTGTGGAAGTGTGAATGTGTTTCAGGGCAGTTCTGACTACTCAGAATAGGAATCTATTGCTGCATTGCTTTTAAAGAAATAGGTGGAAAAAAGATAATCCAAACCATATATTACAATGTAATATACAGATAATACAAACATGTATTCTATACCCATTGTATAGTTTTTAGATGTACATTTATTTTATTGAGGTTATGGTGTTGGAAATTTATATAAACTGTTTTTGATCAGAGGTGGATAGAAGGTCATTTCAATCGAATCAAATGTAAAATTACACTATCATAAATGTACAAAAAATTTAGGAGAGATGGCTCTGGGCAAGATGATATAAGAGTTCATTTTAAAACTCTGTCTATTAAAATGTTTTGTAAAATATCAATACATGCAGCAACTTTAATGTAAAGTTATTTATTTATATATACTAGCCTAGATATCTTTGACAAATAGGAGTATAAATCAAACAAAAATTCTTCACAAAATGAGCTTTAAATTTGAGATGGGGGAGAAGATATGCATTTAGATAAGCATAATAAAAGATAAAAATCCTCAGCATCCAAAAAGAAGAACAGAAAGTGTGTTCTGGTAGGTTAGAAAACGGAGATTTATGGGATATGACCAAGTACATATTCATATTAATAAAGTTCTATGATAATATAGTAAAATAGTTAACTATAGTAGCATTCAAATATTTTATTTTATATATAACAAATATTTATAAAAATAATTTATACTTATATAAATATTGTATCTATATATTTAAATGTGACATCTATTGAATTAAAAATGCAATCAAGTCTTAGGCTAATTGTTTCATTAGTAAAAGTCTACACTTTTACTGGGAAATCTGACACACCAAACCTGTTAGAATATGGAACTACAAGTTTATGCGGTCAGGCTAGCCAGCCCACAGAGGCACTAAAGGACACCACATGTCGAATTCAGGTGTCATCAGTGGTTTTAGAAAGGCAAAGCCCCATCAAAAGGCTTTTGTAGACAACAGGCTAGCAGATGGCTAAAGCCAGATATGGTTTGGGTTTGTTCAATATCTTACTCTATTCTCAAACTTTGGATTTGGCAAAACCAAAACCATATTTTGCCAAGTCCTTTCTTCCTTAATTCTTAAGCCCATGTGCATTTCAGTAAAATTTAACCCATATGTTTCTTATTCTTTAATACTTAACTCATCAAATATTTTTCTATAAGATCCATTTGACATTCAAAAGCCTTGTGAGTCTTAAAGCTCTGGATTTTTAGCTATTTTTTAAAATTAGGAGTTCTTAGCTTCCTCTGGAAAACAGGAAGTTGAATTCTGCCAAGCATAAATAAATGTGAACATGAATACAATAGGTTAATCCAACACCAAAAGATTGAATTTGGTTGGAAATAGCAACAATGCTCACTATATTTTTACAATATGCCTTTCTGAATCTGTCTGCACCTAGACAGTGACTGACATAATTTAAATCTAATGTAATGAACTTCACTAATGCTGACCAACAAAGGGATCAAGAAATATCTCTAGCGTGTAACTAAAGGAATTCTCAGCAAACCCATTTGTAAAACAAGCCACTGCTGTTTAGTTCTTTTTTTTTTTTTCTTGAGCTATTCGACTTCTTTTCCTAAAAGTTGTTTTGAATACACAGCAATAGAAAACATATTAATTACCATGACCTTAGAGTTATATATTTATCAGTAAGGAGCACATGTATTTATGTATTATATATTTATTCTGAAAATAAGATGCAAGCTTCAGAATGAAAAGTATAAGATACATGCTTCTGAATAAGACACATGTATCAGAATAAATACATACTTATGAGATACATCTATATATACTTCATATGATTTTTTGAATGTATATATTTGCAGAACACTTTTTTCCCCAGAAAGAAAAGGAAAACAATGATAATTTTTATAATGGCTTAACACAATTTCATGCCATCATATAAAGTCAACATAAATGCATTTAGAAAAGGAACCCTAACAAAAGAGTAATGAAATGATCTACCCTAATCATATTTATACTTCTTTGTACCCCAACTACATTTAACACATCTAGGCTTGAAGTGGGTGCTCATTTCATTCTTATTAGATTAAATTGAATTGAATCCAATAGCATAATTGATGACTCATATCATGATGATCCAAAGAATAATGACACTGTTATTCCTATGAAATATTTAAGAATTTCTTGTCAAAACCACTTGTATTAGTTATTTCTCCTAACAATCATGTGATGCCCTTTTAAAAAATGACTTGAAATTCTCTCTTCTGAGTTCCCATGGGCACCAGGGTACATTCTGTTATAAGACTTAGCATATTGTTTGGACGGGATGTGAAAATCTTGGCATTAACATCTATAATCAACCAGAAGATGTCATTGGGAAGCAAAATAAAGGTTGAAATCTATGTCGTAGGGAGTCAGTCTAGCACATCCAAGTAGCACATCCACATTCCTTTCATGAGTGAAATCCCATGAATGGATATCAACAGAGTTGGTCCCTAAACCTGAGAACTGACTTTCAGCTTTTGCTCTAGCCCTGTTCTCTGAGATTCTCAAGCCAAGAAATGGTCCAAGAATCTCTTCTACCTAAGGCAGCAGACACTCATTCATTCATTCAACAAATGCTAGTGAGCACCTACTTTGTTACAGGCACTCTTTATGACAAAAGTTCATGTCATCTTGAAGCTTACATTCTAGTGATTTTTACTATCTTAACAAACCATTTTCTCAGGGGGAAAAACCACAGTTTCTGTACATTTTATGTTTCTTGTAACAGGAATGCACGTTGAATTATAATTTCCTAAACTTTCATGTTAAATATTTGACATTGTTTTCAACAAGTTCTGTTCATGACAAATGAGATAATATTACTCTCAGATAACCCCTAAAATAAGGTATAAAAAGGAAAAAGATATTTCTTTCAATTTTCATGAAGAAATGAGAAAAAATCTGGAAAACATTCCAAAAATCTTAGAATTTTAGGGCAATAATCAAAGTTAGAAGTGGACAGAGAACTAATCAATGGTACAAACAGAAGGGCAGGATGATAGATATAGAAGTGGTGTTGGAGTTTATCTGGTTCTAGCAACAGCAAAAACAGGATCCATGAAGGCTCTTCTTCTGCTTAATGCATAGCTTGAACTGCTGCTAGCCGACCATGGAGCATGGCCACCACTTCCAAAATATTCTAAAGGATCAGAGATCTACCAAAGGAAAGGATGCACAAACACTGAAACCTGTTTGACATTCCCAATAATCCAATTCCTTCAGGTTTAGATAATTTGCCCAAAGTTACTCAGTTACTATCTCTTCACATTGCTTGCATAGACTTTTGTAATTGACAGAAGTATACTGCTTATAGGAGGAAGAGAAAAGAGAGTTGATATCCACCAAGTATCCATGACACCGAGCCGGTACAGTACCATATTTCACTAATATACCAATTTTGTGAGCTGAGTAGTATCCATTTTATAAATCAGGAGCCTATGCAGTCCTTCCTAGTCATATGCCATCTCTAAACTGGTTAAAAAACAATACAAAACAAAACCTGGAGACTTCATTTTTTTCTCTGTGCTTGTGTTAGCCTTCCTAGGCACTAGACACAGGGACCCTCTCATAGCGAGGAACATAGGTAAACGTAGATTATTGGATAAAAGAAAACGTGTGGCTCAGGGGTAGTCTCGGTGATCAGCCTGTTTATATTTCTGTTTCCTTCCAAAGTAAATAAGTTAAAGGCATGAAATACTTTGACATCATTATAAGTAAGATGCTATTTTAGAAGTTTCAAATAACCTGGTCTTCATTCATTATGACAGCACAGACTTTATTGGTCAAGTTCCTTACAATCATCAAGTGTTTGCATCAAAATCTTGCACTGTTATGACAACCATCTTCACATACTACTGACTTCTGTATTGTGGCTTAAACATAAATTCTCACTTTCTGAAGACATCCAGCTGGAAAGGCCACTTCAACTGCCAAGACGATGTTCCACAATTTCCACATCTGCTTTAGCAACTCTGTCACAGGCTCATTACTAATTTTTTAATCCATTTTTAAAGATCATTTTGTTAAGTATACACCCAAGATAGATTTTTATTTATGAATGGCTTCAAGTTATAGATGAAACATGCCTGTACTTTACTCTTTTCCTGCCTTTCTCAATGATTTGACATTATGACTAAATTTAAGTGTTCTCAAAAAAAATTTGAAAGATAATTAACCTATTTTAAATATTCATTCTCTGGTTTTTCTAGAATTCTGTCAGAAAAGTCTTCAAAAATACTTAGCTTCCTCTAGTTTCAAATCAAACCAATATAAATAATGGGTAGAATTACTAACCTGCAGGGAATGTCATCCTAAATTTCCTGGCGCTGGCTATGTAACTGTATGCATGACTGGTGTATTTACTGGAGGCAGTATATACTGTATAATGTTCCCCAAAAACTCATGTAACTAATGCAATATGATAACCACTAGGGTGCTACTGTGACGTAAAGGATATATTACCATTTTTTCCAATTCAAACAAGAAAAAAAAAAAAACAGTCTGCCTTAATGGCCCTGCCCTCTAAATAAATACATTGCCTGCTCTACTGAACTTAAAATTCAAGGTTATATATGTCATCCTGAAGTAAAAATAATTCTGTGGGATACACTTTCCAGCACCAAGATATTATTTGATTCTTTGATCAATTATTTCTAACAGTCATTTCAAAGGTCTAAATGGCCATGACTTTTACTAGGAGAACGTAAAATAAAAATGAGCCTTCAATAACACAGATTTCAAGTGGGCAAAAGATGGAGTTAGTCCAAGAGGTAACACATCTCCTTCGGGAGATGCTGGATGTTGGTTACTATCAACGTGTTTTAAGCTGGATCCAGTAGATACACTCAGTCATCAGTAGAAAAAGGTTCAGTGAAGAGAGGTCCTGAGCCATAGGACAGGAAAGATGCCTGGGCACATCTAGCTCCCTGCTCCTACCTTCTCATATGCCCATTTCCATGATTTTTCAGATGTGGAAACTGAGGCCAACAGCTGTAATTTCCCAGGGTCCCAGTCATTGTAGAGTAGGCATAGAGCCATCTCCTAACTTCCGAGAGGGCAAGATGCTGATTCTTCTGAAATAAGTTTTAGAATAGGAAAGCTAGAGCTGAGCAAACAGAAACAGCTTCATGGCAGGCTGCCAGGAAGACAGACAGCACAAAGATGATGGATGTAAGAAAAACAACTTGTAAGTGGTCCAAAAATGAGAATCCTGTTGGTTTTTCGAAAATACTGTAGTTTTTTAAAAATTCAATTAAAATAATATCCATGTTTAAAAGAAAAAAGAATGAGCAAAACAAGGTAAATATAAATAGATTGGTGTACATGTACCTAAGCTTTCAGCGGAGGCTACAAATATACATTATAAGCACCAAAGAGTGTCAAGAGCATTTTAAGAAATTGGTCATCCCTTTCCACTTTGTGAGTAATACTTGGGAATGGGATAAAAAATAATAATAATAGCCTCTAGGGAATGTTCAAAGATGAGGTAATTTGCATGTGTCTTCCAGAAAACATTAAGCATATCCTTCTCCTCTGCCAGGATAATTTTGAATTTCTGGCATTAAAACTTAAATTCTCTACCAAAATTGACCAATCTCCTGTTACCACTCTATATTTATGTTGGTGTAACAGTTTATTCTATGCAGTATTAGACTGAGGCTAGTCACCTATTTAATCTTCACATTTTTATTCAAGGTCTTATTGAAGAAAATCCCCAAATTCTGTGAAATTTTTGCACAGTTTTTAGGTTCTAATTCTTCCTACTTTGGGGCTATGGCAACTCAGCCAAGGAGGGCAAAAGTGATTGCTTCTCTAGAGAAAACTTGGATATATAAGTTTATCACCTTTTTCTTTCCCTTTTTTCCATCGGGCACATAATAATTTGGCCTTTCCTCAACCATCAAGTAAAACCCGTGAGCTGTGGAGGAGCTGCCGTAATGGTGTGGATAAATGCTTCCACTTCGTTTAGAGATGTAACCTATATATTAACTATTGATAGAAGCCTATGTTGATATCTCATTTCAAGATAGCAGTGTAACCCCCAAATACAAGCAAAGAACATGCAGTGTAAGAAAAAGTAGCCGGGCATGGCGGCGCATGCCCGCAATATCAGCACTTTGGGAGGCCAAGGCAGGCGGATAACTTTAGGTCAAGGGTTTGAGACCAGCCTGACCAACATGGCGAAACCCCATCTCTACTAAAAATACAAAAATTGGCTGGGCTGGTGGTGCGCTCCTGTAATCCCAGCTACTCAGGAGTTCGAGGCAGAAGAATCACTTGAACCCGGGAGACAGAGGTTGCACTGAGCCAAGATCGCGCCACTGCTCTCCAGCCTGGGTGACAGAGAAAGACTCCATCACAAAAAAAGGAAAAGAAAGAAAAAGAAAAAGTAGATTCCAGAAAATGTATGACAAATACATTGGGAAAGAACTATAGAACTATAGAAAGATCTGGAAAACCAGAGATTAGAACTAGAAGTGATTTTGGAATTTATTTACTTGCAATAACCTTCATTTTACAGTTTGGAAACTGAAGCCCAGGAGGTGAAGCAAGTTACCCAAGTCATAGGTTATTTTCTTTTATTCATTTTTTTAAAAAGATGAATCCATTAGTATTTCTATTACTGTTCTTCTAAATTCTGAGTCAATTGCCATGTTAAACTGTGGAGTAACCACTCCTGCTCTAAGCCCTTCATCAAACTCTTCTTGGCTCCTTTCTCTGACCTCTGTGCTTCTGAGGTGTCATTGTTGTTAGTTAGCAGCTGACTTCTACCTTTTAGATAATGCTTACTTCAGGAATTATGTCTCGCTGTCTGAAAACTGAAGATACACTCATCCCAAATTTCTGTGAATGGAGAGTGATCAGTAGGCTGTATTTTTCAAAGTCACTAAATAAAAGTGTTGTTACAAACATTTTAAGTACCTCCACTGCCCTAACACCCATCAAGTCACTTGGAGGTATTTAAGGTTAATAATATCGACTATTATCTGTGTTCAGTTAAAAGTGCCTTCACATTGTATTCACATGTTTAATCTCATGTAACTCTTAAAATAACCAAATAAAGTGGTCATTTCTAGCATTTCTGTTTTACAGATGAGACTCAGGTCACATGCTGAACACTGACAATACAACATCTATGGTTTTGCATCCCAAATCTCAGGCTCTCGACTCTATCATGAATATGTAGTCCTTTAAGCTTAAATAGTGAGTTTCTAGAGCTGATGCCATTTTTAATGAAGGACTGCCCTAATGAGTTGTATTATATTTAACAGACAACACTATGTGGCCAAGGTGGCCAAGACAGAAGCCAGGACAAAAAGAAAAAGGGCCCAATTTTTTTTTTTAAGTGTGGATTGTTTTCTCTTGGAAAAACAATTTGGGTTGTCCTAACAGCTGCCACTTTACAACTGTTCATAGTTAAATCACTTCCTCCTACATGTCTGAAGATACCGACACCGGCTCAAATCTTACGTTATACAGTATGACTGGCTTGAAGATCAGGCCTAAGGGCATCATTTAGTGCTATGCTTACGCTTCTGGATTCTATTAGGATCATACTTTATTTCTTCTGGCCAAATATTTTCTGGGCCAGGCACAGTGGCTCACACCTGTAATTCCAGCACTTTGGGAGCCCAAGCACTTTGCTTCAGCCCAGGTGTTTGAGACCAGCCTGGGCAACATAGCAAGACCCCATCTCTAAAAAAATAATTAAAAAAAAATTTTGCCTGACACAGTGGCACACACCTGTAGTTCCAGCCACTCGGGAGGCTGAGGCAGGTGGATCACAGGACCCCAGAAGGTCAAGCTGCAGTGAGCCATAATTAGGCCACTACAGTCCAGCCTGGGCAACAGAGTAATACCCTGTCTCAAAAAAACATATTTTCTGCTTTCTCATTGGAGGGCTTACTTGAGTCCAGAGCATATTGACTAAAAGCATTCAACGAAGAATGTGTTTGCTGAAAGCAGGGTGATATGTTGATGTTGAGTAAGTCTATAGCCCCTGGAGTCTGACAGTGTGGGCTTGAATCCCAACTTCACAAATCACTTGTTGTGTGATCTTGGTCAAATTTGTTAATCTCTTTCTGACCCAGTTTCCTCCCCTGCAAAATGGGTTCTTATGAAGGATTAATGAGTTAATGCATATAAAGTGCTTAGAGTAGTGACTGACACAGAGCAACGATTTAAATGTTAACTATTATGACTGAAAGTAGGTACAAAATGGGGGAAATGTTCATTAATCTCTAATTTTAATTTCTTATTAGTGGGTATTAATAGGTTCGTGTCCCTTTATTTTTAGATAATATTGGACTCCCTGACATTTGGTCCACTAAAAGCTTTAGTTATATTGGTGCCAAAATTGGCTAGACTTACTCATCATATTTTAAAATTTACCTTTTTAAAAAAATATACCCAGTAACCAGAGTTCTAAAGAACTTACATTAAAACTAACAAATAAAACTCATCTGTTGTAATATGTTCATTTTCATTAAAAAGACATCAGTCTGCTTTGTGCTTGCATTAGAAATAGAACTTAATCTCTGACAGGCGTTTCTCATTTTCCAGTTATTCTCTAAGGAGCATATGTTGGCAAGCATGCAATGATTTTTTTTTTTTTTTTGGCTCTGCACTGTGGTTGCAAATGGTGTCATTGTTCTTGGTTAAATCTGCGAAAAGTAAGCCTACCCCTCTCATTTTTTGGCTTCACGCTAAAGTAGCCTTTATGGCAAAGAACTGCATGAGTTTATCAGTCTCCGTTCACTGCCCATATTCCAACATGATCAAAGGCTGCTAAAATAGCCATACATTGAGCTTTGTTTTCTCCCTTCTCAGTTTCTGCACTTGTCGAGAATGATAATATATGTTGGAATAAAATCTAGATTTTTCTACTTTTGGGTCAATATAGGAGCTTCTGAGAGAAATAAAACAGGATAAATATTTATCCCTAAAGTTCTTTGCAGGCAGGAGAAACAGATTTAGTTGTCACTTGTCAATGAATATCATCACTGAATATTTAAAAGTTATACTTCAGACAAGTATTTAATCATTAATGAAATCATGGCATTTATCGTATGTCAAAATTCAGTGCATAGATTGGAGATTAGTTCTAGTGATTCCAGAAATACAAGAAAGGAACAATGAAAACCATTCCATGATAATAGAGCACTTTTTTTTCTAAGTAGTTGGTTTATTCATCCCCTTCATGATCGTGGTTGCATAATAAAGTTGCCTCTCAAGTTGTTTCTTTACACATAGTGTAAAAGTTAATAGCCTCTGTTTGAGATGTTATATCCTAAAGATAAAATAAATGTAATTTTACATTACTGTAAGGGACAAACTGATATTCTAAAAGATAAAAATATTTTTTTCTTTATTAATACATCTAAATTATTTTTCTTTAGTTTTTATTTGGGAATAGATTTTAAAATACATGGAGCACTATATTTATTGACTAATTGTGCCTCATACCAAATGATTCATGTGAGATGTTTATAGTTCTGTATAAATTAGCCACAATTATCTTTTTCTTAAGTGCATGCAGATTAAGAAACAAAAGAAGGGACAGGCACAGTGGCTCATGCCTGTAATCCCAGCACTTTGGGAGGCCAAGGTGGACAGATCACCTGAGGTCAGGAGTTCAAGACCAGCCTGGCCAACATGGTGAAACCCCGTCTCTACTAAAAATACAAAAAAATTAGCTGGGCATGGTGGCGGGCACCTGTAATCCCAGCTACTCGGGAGGCTGAAGAAGGAGAATCACTTGAACCCAGGAGGCAGAGGTTGCAGTGAGCCGATATCGTGCCATTGCACTCCAGCCTGAGCAACAAGAGCGAAACTCCATCTCAAGAAGAAGAAGAAGGAGAAGGAGAAGGAGAAGGAGAAGGAGAAAAGAAGAAGAAGAAGAGGAAGAAGAAGACGACAAAAGAAGAAGAATATGTCAGTGATACAGTGCCCGTGGTCCTAACCACTTGCTGGGCAGTGCCCACCTGTGTGTTTTTATGCTTACAAATGCAGAAGTACAGACAGGCACATTCATTTTCTAAATACTGACTCAACATGCTATCTGTAGCTACAAAGAGGCCATTTTAACAGAAGCAATTGCCCCTAGTCTTTGCAGGAAAAAGAAAGTGGGACTGAGTCCTTTACAAGTTCTGTAATTTGCTCAAATGTTTATGGAACGTCTACCCTGTGCCACGCCCCAATCTAGGAGCTTGGAATAAACTAATGGACACGAGCCAAGAAAAATTAGCTGCTCTCAATGAGCTTACATTCTGACTTCTAATAGTAACATCCTGATTTTTAAAATAAAGCTTTGCCACTTTTGGACAAAGACTGTTGCTAACCAATAGCATTTTAATAATAACAATATACCTTAATTTCAAAGAACACTGGCACATATTTTGGTATTTGATTCTCACAACAGGAGAATAAGGCTTTGCGCCTAAAATGCCCTTCCTGACCAAACTCTTACTCAAATGTAAAAGCTCAGCTAAAATGTCTCCTCTGGGAAGCCCTCCCTAATTCCTCATGCAATCAGTTTTATGTTACACAAGATGCTTCTCAGATATCAAGAAAAAGTTGTCTCAAATTTTCCCATACTGTATCAATTCCTACATTTACTCATCTCATTCCCCAGCTCTGCTTGCCCTGATAGAGAGTCGTGGGACGGAATTTGACCAATGAAATGTAGGTGAAGGCCACGGGTCACGTTAGGCTGGGCTCTTTAGAGTCTGTGATTCTTCTCCATTATTCTCTTCTCCTCCCAGGGTGAACTTAGAAGCCTTTTATTGCAGTGGAGTGTCACAAGAAAACCTGGGTCCTCAAACTCATTTCTGGAGAAAGCCCCCCACCACCTAGCATTAGACATCGATTAAGACATAAACTATTGTGTGAAGCCATGAGATTTATCTGTTGAGGCAGCTAGCATTAATTACTGTGATTAATACAATGACAGGAAAAAATGAATTTATTTTGTTTTGCCACAGAGGCACATCTTTTATACAGGAGGCAAGGAGTTACATTAAAGATGCCCCAGGCTGCTTGCTACCCCTGCAAGGGCTGGGGATGGAACTGAGAAACAATCACTACTTCAGCTCAGCTGCCTCTTTCCCTAACACTTACTCATGTCTTTTCTTTGATCCAAAACAAGAAAACCCATTAATTACCTTAAACAATGAGCTGAACTTAAACTAGCTATTTGTTGCCTTTTTTTCAAGATGCTATATATATATATATATATATATATATATATATATATATATATATATATATGTTTTTTTTTTTTTTTTTGAGACAGAGTCTCGCTCTGTCACCCAGTCTGGAGTGCAGTGGCGCAATCTCCACTCATTGCAAGCTCCACCTCCCGGGTTCACGCCATTCTCGTGCCTCAGCCTCCCGAGTAGCTGGGACTACAGGCGCCCGCCACCATGCTCGGTTAATCTTTTGTATTTTTAGTAGACACGGGGTTTCACCGTGTTAGCCAAGATGGTCTCGATCTCCTGACCTCATGATCTGCCCGCCTTGGCCTCCCAAAGTGCTGGGATTACAGATGTGAGCCACCGCGCCCTGCCAAGATGAAAGATATTTAAGTCCTGCCACCGAATATTGACAGAACAGGAACTCCTAGGTGTGACTCTCTCTTTTGATCATACGCAGAGCACTTGCACACACACACACACACACACACACAGAGTTCATTTTTAAACATTATTTTACTTATGAATAGGATGGTTGAATGAAATAGGAAATGGTAATTCTAGGCCTCAATTAATTTCATTAGTGAATACTGAATAAAATTTTGAGTTCATTGTCTTAAAGTAAATAGGAATTAGACTATCAGAGGTTAATAAAGATTGGTTATAATAGCTAAAAAGGGCCTGTTTGCTTACATAGTAATGTCTTTCTTTTTGTTTTAGCATGAAGGAACTGGGGATGTAGGGAAAATATGAGCACAAATCCTAAACTGTCAATGAAATATTTATTAAATAAAATTACTTCTGGTTTATTTTAATATTTCAAATTATATAGTATGTTGGTAGAAAGATAACAAATGAAAATTATTTTTGTATTCCACAAGGAAAAAAAAAACCCACTATGGCCCAGAGCAGTAGTGAAAGTAAATGTAGAAATAAGAAAAACAATGATGCTAATTAGTAGATAGAATAGGAATATGATCACTTCCATACAGAGTAGATTCAGATGACAGGTATTCTAGGTTCAGGATGTATGTCCTTAGAATCAAAACCTGAAATCTAAGTGGACTCTGCCAAATGTTATGACATACTACTTAACTTCCAAATTCCTGGGGGAAAATTGAACCTAACAACCAAAATGGGAAAATAAACACTGCTGCTACTTTCTTTTCCATAAATTGGTGGTGGTGGTTTATTGTTGATGTTGTTGTTGATCTTTGTTTTTGCCTTGGCTGATGGGAGGCTGAGAGACAGATTCTATACTTTCTTCTAGCTTTCATCAAAATTGATTGAATATACTGTTTTCTCCCTTCTTTTACTTCTCAGTATTTATCTTATTGTACATGTCTTTGTTTTTATTGTATCGGTATTTTAGTTGCAAGATGCCTCAAGTGCTTTGTGGAAGTAGCAGTGTTATAAATCAATTAAAAAAAAGCGAAGTATCAAGTGCAGATATTGCATTTCTGAGACTATCTAGTCCATATGGAGCCACAGAATGCTAGAAGGAAGGGAGCCTTAGAATTCTTCTAATCCAACACCCTTGTTAATCAGGTAAGAAAGCAGATACAGAGAAGTTGACATACCTAGGAAATAAATAATCAGGGGCCATTTCTCTTGTACCCTCTCATCCTTCCAACTATGAGACATATCTCCGCTTCAAATACACTGTCCAAATTACCACATACTATACTGTCTTAATTTATTTATTTTATACAAGTTTCTGAAGCTTTCTACCTAAAGAGTAAGCATTAATTAATGTGCTGTAGAGACCCACCCTCATCCTGCCAACTGACAGCAGTCCTTTCCACAAACTGCTGTTCAGGCAGCTGCCAAGAGAAAGAGATTATTCCCATGGACTCTTGCCAAGATCCTGGCTGGGGACTGTGCTCAGGGCTAACTGTTGCTTCGAGTAGTTACATTAGTCAGGAACTGGAACTGTCAGGATCTCTACCAACTAAGATCTTCTTAAGCAGCAGCAAAACAGAAAAAAAAAAAAGTTAGATAAAGCTCAGTTGCCAATATTCTTGATATATAAATCAACCCGAATTTGAAGGAAGATTTTTTTTAACCTTATCCATGGCTATGATATATGGTAAATAATGGCATTGTTGAGTTATTCATTCTAAATCACTTCTCCACCAGTGAGTAATTACTAAGGATGATCTTGTCCACATAGGTCATGTTGTGGCTAATATATAGAACCTTCTTCATAGGGCTCTGCACTGATAAGATGTGGCAGGCAGGCATGATGGAATGCAGACAGAGGACCGACCTTGCTGTGTGGGCAGACAGAGATGGGCTCCAAAGAAACTCCATTACTTGAAAATCAATATATTTGCAATATCCTTCTCTATAGCAAGAAAGTGCAACAATTATTTGCTAAAGTATGTACTGCGATTATTGTCTCTAATTTGTAGTTCTAAATATCCATTTTTAAAATAGTGAGAGAGTTTAGTATTTGACATAGAAGTCATCATTGGAAGATTGAAGTTGAATAGTGTCATCATAAGGTTCTTTTCAAGCTAGAGATTTGGAATGAAGGAGTGTGTGACATCAGAGAGCTGGGAACCCATAGGCCACTGGCCAGCCTTGAGCACAATGGAACACTAAAAGCGGGAGAATAAAACAATAAGTTAATAACGCATACTAAGTCACATGCTTTAGGAGAAATCTAATGCAAGAGGATGTGTTCTACCCCCAGTACTTCCTATGTTTTCTCATGCAGGTGGCATATCAGATTCTAATTCTCTATAATCCTTTCCCTTCGCTAGGACCTCTGTCCCTTCTGCAGTACTAGTGTGGTAGTCAGTGGACAAGGAGGTACGAGGCAGCAGTACTGTGCTATTAAGCCATTCTTTACTCAGGGGACAGAGTAACATTAATGGATTTCCAGATGTGGGAGGCTTCTAGCATTATTGCTTCTTGAAATCTCTTTGATGTCTTCAGAGTTCTCTACTCTGAATCCTGTCAAGAACAAAATCTATACACACAGGGTGTTATTTATGAGGCAACATGGCTGCCAGTCAGACATCAAGGAGGATTTTTACTTTGATAATTTCCTACTCTAAATAATTATTTTACATTTAGATCACCATAAATAAATGGAATTAACTCAAAAAAGGAAACTAACCTTAGTAAAAGACAAATTGACAGCCAGGCAGCATCATAAATCTCATGACCAATGAGATATTTGCAAGTAACTTCTCCTTGGTGTTGCCCATAAACACATCTGTTAGTAAAGTTGTGTATGAGTACAGTTACTTCCCCACATTAAGACCTGGGTAATTATGCTATTGTTAGTCAAAGTTCTAAGTTACTTAACATGGGTTGCAATTTCAAGTGTTTGAAAATGGTATAACCATTAAACGTACAGGGCAAAATAAGCAAACTATTTACTTCTAAATCGTTAAATGATTTTTGTTGTCATCTATGAAGCATACCTAGGTGAAGTCAGCATCAGTATTTGTTTCCAGGCTCACTTCCAAGCCAATGGCAACAATAGAACCAGTGTCTCACTGAACGTGGAGAGCCAACACAGTTCAGAGACAATAGTTTCTTAGCTTTCTCCCATTGTTTCACTCACATAAAGCAATCTGTACTTCTTGTCCCATATTACATTTGGTCTTTAATACTGGCAATTTGAGGACATACTATTAAAGGAAAAACTTCTGTCAAATATTATTATGCTTCCAAATCCTAAAGTAATTACTTAATATGAAGTATAAGGGCACAGAGACAAGAAGTTGCCTATTCAATATCAATTCCTTTTCTTTTTTTTTAAACCTTACTAATAGATCCAATTTTATTCAGGTCATTATAGGGAAAGAGAGAGAGAGAAGGAAAAAAGGAAGGAAGGAAAGAAAAAAAGAGGGAAGAGAAAGAAAGAATGGACTACATTTCCCAGATTGCCTTGCAACTAGGTTCAGTTAAGAATGAGTAGTTATCATTGGGTGGAGACTTCCAGAAAAGCCCCTCAAAGGGGACTGACTTATGGACATGCACTATTTTCATTGTTCTTTAGCTTTCTCTTGCTTAGAACATGCACAGCATGGCTGACGATTTGCAACCATGTTGAGAATGTGAGATTGAAGGTCACACCTTACGATACTACAGCAGGAAGTTAGAAGGATCCAGGGTTCCTGAGAACATCATGGGGCTGCCATACCAGCAGTTGCCTGCCAGTCTTCAGATTTCTTTTAAATTTTAAGCCACTGTTTTTGGGGTCTCTGTTACTCACACAGACATAATAGAGAAGTTGAAAAAGTGTTGATTGAGACCCGGTGTCTAATTTTTGCCTTTCCATAGACCGTATGGCCTTTAAAACCTCTCTTTACATCTCATGGCCTCAGGTCTCTTCTCTATAAAATAAGTGAGTTGGGCTGGATGATCCTAAGGAAACAGGAATGAGACCACGATAGGTAAATGGAGGCAGGAAAGAGCTGCCCTTACTTGCTTCTAGCTTTATTTAAGAAAGGGACCTGTGGGGCTGAGGGGGTGGGCAGTAGGTAATAAAGTAACCTCACCCCTGGGATGGAACATTAGCCTATGTTTGACAGCCCTGGGCAAGAGTTGAGCTCAAGGTGATTGAAGTAATGCTACATTTGACTGGAAAAGGGCCTCCCTTCTGTGTTCTCCATACTCCCTAGTCCTTCCTGAATACTACTGGGATGTGATAGAAAAGACAAAAGGAGAACATATCTTTAGCATAGTCCATTTTTTTTTTCAGAGTCCAACAGTTGCTTTCCATTTACCAGGGGTTGGAGGAACTAGAGAAACACGAATAATCACAATCCTCATGATCCAGAGATGCAGGAAAAGGAAGAGAAGACTCCCATAATTTTGTCTTACTCACCCACTTAAAGAATTTACATTAAGACATATAAGCCATAAGTCACTTATTTCATTCTGGAAGATGTCCCCTGATGGCCAAGTATAGTGCACATTGCAAATAAGCACCACACAACCAATTAGTTATTACGTTATTCACAAGAAGCAAAAAATTGTATCTATGATAAACTCTATACAAATTTTCCAGGTTCCTGGAAACAATCCAAACAATCTTTCTCCATCTACAATGTCCTTTACCAAGTTGAAACTAAATCATCTGGGATGGAAAATCTTTGATAGCTTTTCATACCAACCTTGTGAAAAAAGATGTATGTCTAAGTTTATGGCGACAAACAGTGTTATTATCTCTCCTCCTCTAATATTTAACCAACCTAAACACTCAGGGGAAAAATGTTATCTGAAATCCAACCACTTTATATACATTCACTTGGTCTTCTTTGGACAAGTCAACCAGCTTTTTCTCACAAGTATCTCAAATACTTGTTTGGAAAGCTTTTCTCAAGTGGGTATGCAAACAGGAGGAGAACTGTTCTTTAGCAGTCCCTTCTTATAAGCCTCCAATGATGCTATCTTCTTGTACTTTAGTTAATGAAAAGATAAATATGATCTGTGCTGTGCCCAGCTGTGTTGTTCTTGTACTGAGGAATTCACAAAAGGAAAATTTTACATCATACTTTTATCAGTGAACAAGCTTGCTAAAGCAAATAGATTTCAGCCTCCTGAGTTTGCTTCAATAAAAGATTAAACGCTAATAGTGCAACTTACCGCACTCAACAGATTTATGAATAATCAAAGTCTGGAGAAAGGCCAGGCCATTTAAGAACATTACCTACCAAACAGATGCCAGTAGTATGTAGACGTCTTCCCTATAGCCAAGCAGCTGTATTTCCTATCGCACAACTCAATATTGACTGCATAATTGGCCTTTACAAAACATTTATTAAAATGCACCATTTGTCACAGACCCAGTGTTTGTTTAAGAGTTTCAGGTGGGGAGAGGGAATTGAGGGGTGGGCGGAAGACACACAGTTTCTAATTACTAAGCGGATTTAATTGGTAAACAGCAGCAAGTCCAGCCTATCCTGGTAAGATGAAAGGTCTGAATTTTCAAGGAGCAAGGAGTTCTTTAAGAAATAAAGAGAATAAGCACCTTATGAGAACTAGTTTTTGAATACCACTTTGCATCTGTGAATGGCATTCCTCTCGGTGAACACAAAGCCCATTTCCATGTGTTTACCTTCGTGTTCTCATGCTATTCCTAGGTGGTCAGCCTGCCATTATGTTGCTGCTCTCCTTTTCTAGATTAATACACTGAGGCATGGAGACTTTTTTGAATGCTCTATCTACCCAAAGGAGCATATTAAGTTAATGATTAAGTGAGGGCTGAAGTCAGCGTGCTAAGTTTCTAACTCTTTGAAAAGGATTGCTTATTTCTCCATCCTGTATCTGTATACAGCTTTAAAAAGAAAAAAAAAAAATCAGTTGACTGATTCCTTGTAATAGAAACCACCTATTTAAAAAAATCTCCCTGCTAACAAATTCCAAATACATGTGGACAAAACGCTTTAATTAGAAGGCACTGAGTTTAGTTGCAATGAACTCAAAACGCACTCAGGGTATGACTCAAGAATGAAAAGTATCACTTTATTTTGTAGGTTTGCCATGGCAGAAAATGCAACTGGATTCCAGTTAATATCTTGCCAAATTAAAACATGCTTCTTAATTTGTTGGCCTCCTGCTCAATAAAAATCCTAGTCATGCTCTCTGTAATAGGAATTCCTCACTAAACCTCACTTAATGCTAGAAAAATGAGAGTATCATTTATCTCTGGCACCCAAGTATGTCTTCAGCAGGTGCTTGAATCATTTAAGATTTCTCTAACACCAAAAGCTAATTATTTTAGTTCTTTGGTGCTATTTTTAATTACATAAACACCTTTGGTTTCTTCAATTTTATTCAAACTTTAAAAGAGAGTAGGTTTGTGTTATGGCAATAATTATTCATTAAGTGGAAAATAGAAATATTTTTGTTCAAATTTTAGCTTTCTAACAGCTGCATACGTATATAAAGGTGTGTGTGTGTGTGTGTGTGTGTAGGTATTTCATACTCACTTGGCCCAAAGTGTAGGTGTTTTGTGCATTTACCTTACAGAGTCATTAAAAAATAATCATTTCATTGTGCATATTCAAACGCACTCAACAAAAAAGGACAATGTATAGTAGTTATAAACTCACTGATCCCGGTAAGAAAGGGACAGTGTTCTGGCCTATATGTCTGGTATCAGAATCTGGATAATAAGTGATACATTTTTAAATGATGGGTTGGTATCTAGCCAAGTGGCTAGGTTAAATTTATGAAAACTACAATAGAGGACAGGAATGCACATTCAAATAAGTGAAAAATAAATCCTAAATACGTGAAAAAATTGCTCACTTTCATGGATTATTGAAGTAGGAATTTAAGGTTCCAGATTATATCTATATCTGTATCTATCTATCTATCTATATATACTTATATGCAATTTATAATATTTATGTATTTAATTATAATTCCACAACTTATATATTAAACATATTTATGTTAAATATTAAACTCAGTGCAGGTAAAATACACTTATATCCTAAAGCTTTGAAAACTGTTATAACCCTTTCAGAAAGCAAGAACAGAAATTTTATAATATGTATACAAATATTAAAGTGTTTACAATCTTGATAATTCTACTGCTGGAAATTTACTTTAAATACATATCAACAATAGGTAAAGCTACATTCAGTAGGGTTTTTGTTGTTG
This sequence comes from Homo sapiens, assembly GCF_000001405.40. Taxonomy (NCBI): domain Eukaryota; kingdom Metazoa; phylum Chordata; class Mammalia; order Primates; family Hominidae; genus Homo; species Homo sapiens. The sequence continues at coordinate 169,270,688 of NC_000003.12, forward strand.
TCATGGTGGTGTTAAATTTAATCGTATAAATTTAAACCATGCAAGTAACTAACACTAGAGGGAAAAATAAGTAAATTATTGCCCCTGGATGGACTAATACTTAAGTACAATAATAATCATACAGACTATGCAATAACTGGCCCAAATTCATGGTAAAATATTAATCAAGAAAAAGTTGAAGCTATAAGAAAAGTGATTAGCAGAGCCAAACAAAACTTTAGTAAAAATTATTGCTGGTTTTTAAATTTTTTGTAATACTGCTTTTATGTTTTGAAGATGTTGACAAGAGTTTGAGTCCTTCTTGTCCATATTTAAGTGTGAGATACAATTTTCCCTGGCCTGAGCACTTCACTCCACGTAGACAGTAACAAAGACAAGTCCGATTTCTCCGAAGGGAGTCAATTCCCATGGTATAACTATCTCCCAAAGCACCACTAAGGTTGCAGTTAGTTTCCTGAGTATGCATCAAACTCATGCAATCCAGGTCTGGAAATTACACCTGCCCTTCTTGGGAACCACTCCCTCTACATCAAAGGACTATCCTTGGCACAGTACAGCAGGGGTTGCAGCCCCCAGCCCTGAGCACAGCCACGTCTTCACATCATGAAGCCAGATTATCCTGATAAAAGGACACAGTCTCATCACCAGGCATATTTTTGTTAAAGCACAAATACCCAATGTTTCAACAATCAAATAATCGCTAAATTACCAAGCCAAGCAATTGCTTATGGAGAAAGCCACAAAAGGAAAAGGCATCCTTAACACTCTGATATTAAAACAACAACAATAACCAAAAAAGACTTTCCAAGTTTATAATTTTTTAAAGTCTGTGTTTTCCTCATGTTCTCACTCATAGGTGGGAGCTGAACTCGAGAACACATGGACACAGGGCAGGGAACATCACACACCGGGGCCTGTGGTGCAGTTGGGGGCTGGGGGATGGATAGCATTAGGAGAAATACCTAATGTAAATGACGAGTTGATGGGTGCAGGAAACCAACATGGCACATGTATACCTATGTAACAAACCTGCACATTGTGCACATGTACCCTAGAACTTAAAATTTTAAAAAAAGAATTTTCCAGAAAAAAATAAAGTCTGTGTTTTAAAACCAGATATTTATTACTCTCTTAAAATGTCTCAGGGTAACATTTTTAGTTCTGCAACAGTGCAGCTAACATTCCGAGACCAGCCATCGTGCAACTGCCCATAAAAAAATTAACACCATCAAGGCCATTTTTCTGTGCTTAAGCTCATACCAATGAAAACTACCCTATAGGCATAAACTTGATATTTCTGTTCACCACACATTAACCCAGCGTTCCTCAGAGTGTGACACCCAGGTGACTTCTGTGATGCAAATTTCTAAAAATCTGGCTGGAAACCTGCATGATCGAATACCCCACTCATGACAGGGTTCAACCATTGATCTTCGCTTATTTTACCCAGCTTGCACTTAGTCTTGGAAGATTAACCCTTTGGCAGGGTGAATTCACACTGTTAAACGCAAAGGAGTCTCTCCTGAGACTCATGAAAGTGCCTTAGTTCCCAGAGTAGGACCCAGAGACTACTGGAGATCTAACATGATTCATGGGAGTCAAAGAGAAGTGGCTAACATGGGAGTTGGGGAGAGACATAGGCTCTGGAAGGAATTGAATCACAGATTCCTGGAGCTACAGAAAACCTTAGCAGTCACCTTAGCCCTCTCAGTGCACCACACAACTGGTTAGTGAGACAAACTCAATGTAGCTTTCTTTACATTGTCCCCAGAATGTTTTGAGGTAAAAGAAATAGGGGCAGAAGGAACCTGGTCATAGAAAAAAAATTATATATTATTAAAGAAACATAATAGCAAATGAGGACAATATATGTAAAGATAATCTTTAAAACGTTTTCTGACATGGTCCTGGTATACATTTTAAATTACATCTGAATGCTGAGGAGACCATCTTAGAAGCTGGTGTGGATGACGACTTCCCAATAAGAATGTTAAGAAAGGGAGAAAGCAAATCATTTACACACCTGGCCGGCCCCTGTGACCTTCAAAAGTCACTGGCTGCACATTCAGTTGCACATACACTTTTGAAAAACTTCTCTTTGTCTGGCAATGTCATTCCCCTTACCCCATCCCTCACACTTTTCAAATAGAAAGAAAAGGGTCATAGGGTGGGCACTGGCTGGGTGCAGGAGGTCTCGACCTCACCACATCTGGTGAGGGCAGAGGAGGGGAGGCAGGGAGGACTGCGGGAAAGAGCTGGAGCAAGGGTGAGAGGACAGCAAGCTGGCCAAGGAGAAACACCTCATCCCCTTAACTCCTGCTTGAAGCATCTACCTCCTCCAAACACAGAAATATGAAAAACAGGTAGTCAGCTACAGAATAGGAAATTGAGATACTTTCCAAGGATTCAAGAGGAAGAGGAATGCATGCATGAGTTGGTCGTATTTCAGCTGCCCACATGCCGTTTTATGTGGGCACTTAGAACACATTTTCTATAACATCCCTTTGCCACAAATAAGGCATCAGAACATTTGTTACAAAGCAAGGGTATACAAAATACACTATATGATTTTGTATATCCACCACCACCTGCATACTCAAAATCACAGAGATAGATTAAAAAGGATATAGTTCAAAATGTTAAAGCCATATATGCTGTGTAGGAGCACTTTACCAAATTACCTTTGTTGCAGTCGCTGAAGTTCTCATCACAAAGAGTAAAAACCATCATGCTTCCACATAGAAATAAGCAAATTGCATCAGTGAAATATAACCAGGAAGAGAAAAGGAATTCAACCTCCCCCATCAACACTAAAACTAGTCAATAATTATCTAAGTGGTATCAGTTATGTTTTCTGCGCATCCTGGTTGGCCTCTAAGTAAAGAGAAGGAGCCGGAGAGAAGGGCTTGGGAATGCTACGGTTTCTCTATAGCAGTTTTATCTTAGGCGGTGTGTGTGAAGACTAGGGTGTATGCAGCGAGTAATCTGCATGTTTACTGCGTCAACATTCTACCCACTTCTGGGTAGAATCGTTGCTCATCCTAATCACATTCAAAGGCCCCATAGGGCAGCAAGAAGTTCCTACTTACTGGCAATTTAGCTCTTGGAAACCCTTGAAGAGGATGGTTTTGTCCCTGTGTGCTATCATGGCTGTGTGGAGGCCACTAAGCCAGCTCACAGCTAAAATTCAACAGGCAGGAATGACTCACACCTCTCCAAAGCTTTTTTTTTTTTTTTTTTTTGAGATGGAGTATCATTCTGTTGCCCAGGCTGGAGTGCAGTGGTATGATCTCAGCTCACTGCAACCTCTGCCTCCCGGGTTCAAGTGAGTCTCCTGCCTCAGCCTCCCAAGTAGCTGGGATTACAGGCACATGCCACCACGCCCAGCTAATTTTTGCATTTTTAGTAGAGACAGGGTTTCACCATGTTGGCCAGGCTGGTCTCAAACTCCTGACCTCAGGTGATCTGCCCTCCTCGACCTCACAAAGTGCTGGGATTACAGGCATGAGGCACTGTGCCTGGCCTCCAAAGCTTCCTAAAAATGAGTGAGGAGTACTGCCAATTTAAAAGTCTGCCTGATATTCAATAGAGGAAAGATACACTTTCAATAAACATTCACTTGTTTTACGTGATAATGTAAACTTGATAATGAGAATAAGAAATCTAATAAGGCCATTCTGTAATGTATATCATGAACTAAGTATATTTTCCTATTTCTTAGCACTACACTGTTTTCTGGATCTAAGTTGCCAAAAATACCTACTAGCTGAATGTAGCACAGGGGTTGAGCAGGAAGAAATCAAAAGGTTGAAGCAAAACAAACCCTGGAGAATAGGGTTTGAATTCAAATTCTGGAGGCACATTAAATAATGCTAAATAGAACTAAAGGGGGTAGTTTTCCTTATGAAAAGTCTACAATATAAATGTTGAAGTTTCTCTAGTCCTATATGAATGTGATAAAATGATCTATAAATGCACTGTCAAATACGGTAGCAACTAGCCACATATGACAATTTAAAGTGAAATAATTTTTTAAAATACAGTTAAAAATTAAGTTCCTCACTCACGCTAGTGCTCAATAGCTACATAGGACTAGCAACTACCACATTGAACAGTGCAGATTACAGAACATTTTCAGCACTGCTGAAAGTTCTATTGGGCATCTCTTATTCCAGAGCTTAATAGACTTTGAAGTAATCATAGATATAAAATATAAACTAAAATAAAAGGCATCACTCCATAAAAGTGCACAAGAGGGAGTGGCATATTTAAACCATAAAGAACCTTTATTCTTTCTTTGGCTCAATCCTTATTTAGAAGGGAAAAAATCTCTTCCAGAAAACAGGTAGGGCAATAACTAGGCTAGGTAGCAAAGTTTCTAGCAGAGTTCTCATTGAAGTCCTTTTACCTGAAAAGGCACAAATGTGTGTGTGTGTGTTTCCCCTCTGAGTTATTCAAAGCATGTACTTATATGGAGAAATGCTTACCATAGGACCTGCTAAAATAGTATGAATGGCCCAGAGTAGTGACATTAAGACAAGGACTTTTAAAAAGCCAGGAAATCAAAACTAACTGGCAACATTTGACCTGATCTCAAAACAGATTGCTGCAGAAGGGAACATTCTTACACAGAAAGGAGCCAACTATACATTTTCTATCCTCATAGGGTTAGATATTTATACACATTTTTATCACTGAAATTTATTTAGGATTGAAATGGTTATCTAGGTGTTGTCATTGGGTCTGTTTTTGGAAGGTCTCCTGCCTAGGGCGTTTAAAGTATGCTATATCTTGTGAGCAGGAAGATTTGATAATGTTCCAAGGTCACCTGTGCTGGAACATTGTTACCCTGCTAAATATCTTAGTTTTCTAATGATACGCAAATGGCAATTTAAAATACACTATTTAATTTCACTCTCTTCTTTTTTCTTTTTTACTGCTACAATTTGATCATGTGTGTGCCTCCATGCTCACAGGTTCAGGGTGTTCACATGATATAATTATAACAGCTATATGAAACAAAGCTCCAGAAACTATACCATGTGAGTTACAGATTAAATGGGTTGGCAATGCTGGACACAATACCAGTTCTCAAAAGTACTCCTGATTCTAACAAGTAAAGTTGTAATAAATTAAGAGGGCTGGTATTTACATAAGTAAATATGAAATTTCAAAGCTATATGTGAATTCCCATGCTGAATTGAATTCTTACTAACACAACATGTATTCTTTTTTTTAACGCAGATGATAGCCTTGTTAAAACTAGGGAATGCTCACTGGCATATTTACTTCTTGTGGATTCTAAGGTGCCTTTACTGATGACTGAAATCTAGCTATGTTAGAATAAGAGTCACTTGAATATATTTAGCACTTTATAAAGCAATGGTAACATATAACACTGCATTTGTCTGCCATAGCCACACATCAAGTATTTATGGTAGGTGGTATTTTGAAAGTGGGGGGTAAAAAGATCAGGTTGGTTAAGTTATGTGCCTAAGGACTTCAAGCCTTACATTTATTTTTAAAAATAATCTTAACACACAAGTAATACGAGACTATGTTTTTGTTTAAAAATGTCCTATGGCCGGGCGCAGTGGCTCACGCCTGTAATCCCAGCACTTTGGGAGGCCAAGGCAGGAGGATCACCTGAGATCAGGAATTTGAGATCAGCCTGGCCAGAATGGTGAAACCCCGTCTCTATTAAAAATAGAAAAAATTAGCCAGGCACGGTGGCGCGTGCCTGTTTTCCCACCTACTCGGGAGGCTGAGGCAGGATAATTGCTTGAAACCGGGAGGCAGAGGTTGCAGTGAGCTGAGATCATGCCACTGCACTCCAGCCTGGGCAACAGACCCAGACTCTGCCTCAAAAAAAAAAAAAAAAAAAAAAAGTCTACAACATGACATATGAAGCTAAAGCCCCTAGAACCACAACTCAATCTATGTCTGCTCCCTCTCCTCAAAGGCAACCACTGTTATCAGGTGATGTGTACTAGATCTTCTTTATGCCTTTGCAACCATTCACCCTTATCCAAGAAGGTACGCATAAGAAGATCTGGTGCAGCATTGTTTATAGAAACAAAAAACAATGTAATCACCTTAAATATCCAAAAACTAGAGATTAACCAAACTAAATGTAATTTAAAACAATGTAGCAAGCCTATATTAAATAATTTGAAGTTTCTAAAGTGCATAGCAAGTGCGTAGCACAGAGTGAGCATTATATAAAGTATCTACTATTATTATAAGGCACAACATATTTAATGAAAAACACAAACTGCAAAAAGACATACAACATGAGCTAATTTATGTTACACACACACACACACACACACACACACACACACACAAGTGCTGTCATAATTTTCTAGGAGTACCAGGATTTCACTCCATGAGGCTACTTCCCCTCTTTTAGATTATGAGGATACTTTCAAACTACATCAGGCAGCATTATAGAGTAAGAGAGAAAATGGGTATGTATATTATATCTGCCTCAATGTGTTTCTCTGGTCTTCATCCTTAGTATTACAGGTGAAGGGTATTCAAGGGTATTCAAGAATAGTTCATTTTCTTCTTGACTCCGTAAGCACAGGAGGAGCTCAAACATACTACCTCCCTGAAAACAAAAAAGGGATAAGAAACACTTTCTTACTTAAGAAAGAAAAACTTAAGAGAGAAAAAACAAAGTCGAATGAGCATAAACTGTCTCATCAGGTTCTAATTCTTCTGTTTCTATGCAGAAGTTTTTTTCAGATAAATCTTAATGTAGCCTAAAACGAAAGAATTGTGCTCTATGAAGCAGAGGACTCTGAAAAGGGAACCAAAGATGAATTTTAGTCCAGCTCCATCACTCTCCCAGTTGAGCACAGAGCCAGTCCCCTAACCTCCCTATACCAGGGACTTTGGACATAGTCTTTTATTATTTCCACATTGCCTAATGGGGGTCCTTTCTTCATGATCATGCATGTCCTTTACAAATGAAGCTTCCTTTGAAGACAGGCAAGAGATCAGATCAAGCCTTCCAATATTTATTACTTTGGTTTCCTCTTGGTTCACTGTTCTCACAATGGCTAATTCTCCAAGGGGTCCCAGATGTGAACTCTGCTCTAACTATTAAATATGACTGTAACAAGGGAACTCACACCGCAAAACATTCTTCTTGACTTCCAACCAGGGTTTCTCCCAAAGAGATGCCCCTGTACCATCTGCTCCAGAAAAGCGCAAATCCATTCCATTAATCATGGACGTCTCAGAGTTTTCTTTCCTAACCCTGAAGTTCCTGGTTCAAAGTTTCTAAAGTGGACCAACTTAGTAGAGAAATAAAACAGTTGCTATATTTACAAACACAGTATCAAGCACAATTCCTGAAACAAAGTGAACTCTCCAGAAACATTCACTGAATGAATGATGGCACGCCTTAACTAATAACAATGTATAGGGATCTTATTTGTTCATTTTCTTCATGTTTTTCATCAGGCTCTGTACCAACATATACAGAAATTCTCTCTTATTTCTCACTCTCTCTTAAAAGGACCACATTAGCCTTAAGCCTCCTGACATTCCTGGGCTATCATCGGAATTTCATGCACAACCCAAGCCAGGCCTTGATCTTGCCAAAAATCTCTGGTGATTTATTCAGTCTGCATATTGGACAAGTCCAGTTCTACAAGTCATTTAGATCCAGTCCTAAATGCCTTTAACTGGGATCAATTTTATTTTTAGTAGTTGAATATAAACTTTAAACCACAGTGAATGCAGTAAACCAAATGAATGCAGTAAAAACTTGGTGGCTTCCAAATTTATTTTGAGAATTGTAACATAAAAGCCAACATAGAAAATTAAAGCTTTCAAATAATCTCAGAAACAGTACCTGCTAAGGATGGTTTCCAAAGGTTAGCTGGAAAGTTTTATCAGGTTCATCTATATAACTACAAGATTCTTCATCTTAATTCTCTCATAATCTGTCTGATAACCAATGTACTAGAATGACAGACAACAACATAAGGAAAAGGTAGAGCTGAATAGTCAATGGAAATGCTTTAGCAGTCTTGGCCAGCACAGTCCAAAGGGAGCAATGAAGGTTCCTGATGCATGACGAACTCAAGCTCCTTCTGGTCGGTCCCTTGCCTTATTCACTGTTTGAGCATTTATTTAACCTTGAAGAGACAAGTCATATATTGGGAACTGTCCAGTTTTTTCCAGAGGTGTGGAGACACTAAAAACATTCAGTACTTTGAAAGCACCAACATTCCAAATATGAACTATGTTGCACTGTGCTCTGGCCTAGGCAGGCTCAGGAGTGCTTGCTGAGTCACTTCTGAATGAAAGGGATAAAAACTATGCCCCCATCATTTGATACAATTTTAGGTTAGATTAAGAAGTCATTCATTCAGATTTGGCTTAGTTCACTCAAATGTGTTTCTACCTTGGTCTCTACTTTCAATTTCTAAGCATTCTCTCCAAATTAGGCAGGAGCTTTGCTCCTCCTCACATCAACCACCACCATAATAAACCAGGATCTTCACAACTTAGAATTGGTTTAGGGCTCCTGACCCCAAATCTCAATCTTTCTTGAGGTTTGAATCATGCCTTTGTCTTATATTTAGAATCCAATGTCTTGTTCACTGTCTGGAACATTGGAATTAGCTGGGTCAGTTTCTTCCTCACCACATTCCCCTCCTTCCCCCCACTACACAAAAAAGACCAGAGTAAGTTGCTTGTTACGTAGTTGTTCAGTGGGAAATATGTTTTACAAATGAGGGGAGGAAAAGAGGAGGGAAAGCGGGTAAGTAGGTAGTAGTAGAACAGAAAGGGAAATTTGGGGAGCAGAAGAGAGCAAAAGAAGAAAAGGGAAACTTCTAGATTCCTGATAATAGAAAAGCTAGAGAATTTCATTCCTGAAAATTAAAGATATTTTACACGTTTGTGCATGTATGTGGCTTTGTGTTTATACACATACCGTTTTGTTTCATGTAGCATAATCAAATCTATTGCTAATTGTTTAGTTAATATTTACTTATTCAAACATGTTTTTAACATCTTGCCCAATATTCAATCTACATTTTACTTAGCAATTAGCTTCTCTGGCAACTTGCTGTTTTGTTTTCTTTTTTTAACAAAAACGAATACTGATGTTCTAACAGAACAGTCTTACTGCCCCCTTTGGCTATTGTCGTTTCTCTTGCTTCCCCAAAGGCAAAAGCTCTGCTATTTTGCTTGCAAACACAAGACTGATATTTCATTGTTGTTACAAAAGGGTCAAGATTTTTAAAAGCACCACCCTTTAAAGTTCTTTCATGGAGATCTCAGAAATGAACAGCAGTCTCACAGAAATTGCAGAACAGAAGCAGAGGAGAGAAATACAAATGGGCCAGCTAACATTATCAGTCATGTCACCCAGACTGTTACTCTTCTGAATGAAATAAATTGGCAAGAAGGGAAAGAAATGTCTGTGGAACATGCCACGGGATGAGGCACAATCTAGAGTTAGGACCTCCCTTTGCTTTTACTGTAAGCATGCCATTGGTCAAGATCAGCTAAATAAACTGCTCTGCAATTTCCATGCATTCTTTAACCATAATATGATTACCTTTAACAATCTTTTTGTGAAATCCAGGCAAATATCCAAGCCTACTTATTTTATTTTCCAGTTTTGTAACTATTTACCAACCTCACATACTAATCCAACAATGATTGTAGTTATATCAGGCATCTAGTGTATTCATTCAACAAATATTTATGTAAGGAACATTTCCTGCTATCTCACTAGATTGTAAAAACTTTTGTCACTAGATCTAGTAAAGAAATAGAACAGATTTAGAAATGAAATTCCATGGAAGCAAAAGAGCAAGCACACTATATTGGAAAATGTGAGATGTTTGGGGTAGATGAAATACAGTGTCTAAAGCTAAATAGGGAGGGGTTGTGGCCACAGTGTAGGCTGTAGCTGGAGGTATGGATGAAGGGGACAGGTCAAACTGTGAAGTCCCTAATATGCTGTGCTCAAAAACTGCATTTGATCATATTGGAAATTGAACACCATTGTGGGCCTTTAAAGGTGGGAACAGCATAATGACATTGTATTTTAGACAGAAAGAACTGATGCCAGTGGGAGAGGCTGATGGCAAATAAGAGATGCCAACAATCTGGGGCTGTTGTGATGGCCCAGCAGAGAGACACAGATGGCTCGAATGGAAGCAGCAGAAGTGAAATCGAGAAGAGAACATATTTGAGAGAAGTTTAGAAAGGAGAATGACTGATTAACTCTTCGTGGTATTATGATTGCTCTCCTCCCGCAGGAACCAGTCATAACCAATTTCAAAGCCTTTGGCTTGGAATGTCCTAAACACATTGCACAAAGCTACTCTGCATGGTTATCTTTAATCACGTCACATAGGAACCAATTATGATGTAGAATGTTGCCACTCAAAGTGTGATCTTTGGAGAAAAGCATTATCACCTACTGGAAACCTGTGAGAAATGCAGAATCTCCATCCCCACCCCAGAAATGCTGAATCGGATTCTGCGTTTAATCAAGGACCTCAGGTAAATCACATTCACATTGCCATCTGAGGAGTACTAACGTAGAGGAAGTATCTCTGGGTGTAGAAATAGCGGGACCCTGGTTAAGTCACTTACTTATTGAAATTTTCATTTCTTCTCCACAAAATTGGGAAACATATACTGATTGGCTGTAAGAGTGAGACTGTGATAAATTGTGTGAAAATGCTTTGTGAACTCTAAAGCATGATCCCAGATAGATTTAAATTCATTTTTATCATTGTGCTTGTCTTGTCATGCATCAAAATCATATGTTTGATTTATTTGCAAAAGACTTCATTGAGGGCTGGGCATTGTGGCTCATGCCTGTAATCCCAGCACTTTGGGAGGCTGAGGCAGGTGGATAGCTTGAGCTCAAGAGTTCAAAGCCAACCTGGGCAACATGGCAAAACCCCATCTCTATAAAAAATTACAAAAATTAGCTGGGTGTGGTGGCATGTACCTGCAGTCCCAACTACTTGGGAGGCTGAGATTAGAATATCACCTGAGCCCAGGAGGTTGATGCTACAGTGAGCTGAGATTGTAACACTGCATTTCAGCCTGGGTGACAATGAGATCCTGTCTCAAAAAAAAATTTTTTTTAAAAAAAGACTTAATTGAACCGTAAATATGGAAGTGGTAAAAGGAATGCATTTGCAGAGAAAATATCAAAACTTTAGTCACCTGGGTTTTTGTTGTTGTTTTGCACATTATTTCCTTGGGACTATATTGCCAACCTCCAAGCTTTCTATGAATTCACAAAACCTACATCCTCCTCTCTACTGAAACAAAGAAGAGGAGAAAGAATAACAATGTTAAGCACTGAATATTCGATAAACCTAAGGAACTTACCATTACCATATTTTTTTCTTGGTCAAATATCTATTATCTCTAAAAGTAAACCCAAATTCCAGCACTTAATTAGGTTCCTGGGGGAGGATATAGAATTGTTTAAAATAGAGTATAAGCCTATTTGTCTGTATTGTCTCATCCAGAAAGGAAATGAGATCAACCAGATAACCTTCTTGGATTCCTTCAAGTGTTGACTCCACAGTACCTTATTTTCAAGGTCAAGCAAGTAAGCAATATGCACAGGAGTAGCCCATGAAGTGCGATTTGAGGGATATCGAGTTGCTAAACCCTGAAGAAGGTATCCCCCCAGATATGCTGCATAGACCTACAATTAGACCCCAAATCTAGGGAGAAGATAACATGTCTGTGTCAGGGTCTTTTATAAAATATATTCTGTCTAGCACATTGCCACATGCTATGAATAATGAATTTATTAAATAGACCACTTTTATTTAGCAGCTGTAAAGGAAAGAGAAAGTATTTGTTTATTTATTTACTCATTTATTCATTCTTTGCTGTATATTTATTAGGTGCCCAAATGTGACCGACGCTGCCATTCACAGTAAAAGGCCAAACAAGATGGCCAGGCCCTTTGCCCTCATTAAGAATGTAATCTAGAGCTGTAGTCCTCAAGCATTTATCATCACATACCCATCAATAAAATTTGTTGAGTGTGCACCTCCAATATGTTAATATATTTATTTATAAATTAATCAATTATGCTACTGTACTAATATATAATATGATATAATAATATGTATATTGATAAATCCAAATAAAAATATGAGTGTATAACAGTAGAAACAGTTCTTAATTTTTTTTTTTCTGTGCCCCAATGCAACCACTGGCATATGGCCACCCACTTGAGAGATCCCTTTTTTACGGTAATTTCTATGAGAAACTTTTTTTTCCATGGGGACAATGTTATTCAAAGTATATGCTGACTTCAATCACATCTAGAATTCGAACAAAAGAAGTTATATGAGTTGCTCAGGATCAGAGATTCAACCTATTTTCTCTATCTCTCTCTAGTAACTTAAACTGCACTTAGAATATAATAGATGTTCAGTAAATGATTACAGAATTTAGGGAGAAAGGGATGAGGGTTTATGGAAGAAAATGAATACACTTATTACAAAAAAAGAGGTCAGGCATGGTGGCTCATGCCTGTAATCCCAGCATTTTGGGAGGCCAAGGCAGAATGATCACTTGAGCCCAGGGCTTCAAGACCAGCCTGGGCAATATAGTGAGACCTCATCTCTGCAAAAAATTTAAAAATTAACTGGATGTGGCAGCATCACTACACTCCAGCCCTGGTGACAGAACAAGACCCCATCTCAAAAAAAAAAGAGATAATTATTTGTATAATAAGAAAAAAATAGCTTGCTTGCCAGGAAAAATAATACATTGCCTCAATTATTTAAACAATAATAAGACAGAATAATACTCATATGATAAAGAATGTACCTCCCAGCTCACTTTCATTTGTGAAGATGAAATTTCTAATTATAGATCTCATCTCCAGAATTTCTGGGTACAATTTTACTGGCATCTCTCTCATATTTAATGGACAATACATCAATTTTACTCTAAGTAGTGAAATTATTTCTGAAATGCATTTACATGTAGGTTCCTTAAAATTATTTACCTTGCCCACAATTCATTGAAAAAGGAAATGGTGATAGAGTTACATAGTTACCTGGCCTCTTAGCTGGCCCCTATCACCATTGCCTTTGTTCAAAATCACCTGTATTTTTTTTCTGGCAAATGGCTTCTACTGATAGTTGGTAATACTAATATTTGTGTCATGTTATCAAAAACATTTCCCAAGACTCATGGTTGCAGTGTTATCAATAATAGATTTATCTGTTACATCAAAGTTTTGGTGTAATAAACTTATCACCATTTCCACTAGTTTTCCCCACACTCACTGTCAGCCTGGACAAAAGGTGCTTTGTAAAGAGTGTCCCATTCGAAATAGTTCCTTCAGGTGCACAGGCCAATTGCTGGTGCCAGGCTTTGTGCCCAGTCTTCTCTGCTGAGTTCAGAGCTCTCCCATCAAGACTCTGCCCAAGGAGAGCCTTCCACACTCCAAGAACCATGCGATAAGGGAAAATGAAGTTTAGGTTACGACACAGGGAACTGCATTTACGATACCGCCTGCTCCCAGATACTGCCATCTGGCATGTATAATTACCTTTCGGAAACCACGGGGTCACATTCTAGCAGCCTCCTTCGTGGTCTTGGGAATCCTGAGCGTTGAGATTAGGATCCCTGATCACTCTGGGCAGGGATGCACTCTAGCCTAAGAAGTCTATTTTTCCCTCAGCTTAATCCTGAGGGTCTCCAAAGTTCCAAACTGGTGGAGGAGAAGGATTTTTCCCAGGAACATTCTCCCCTTTAACAAATAATTAGGCCTCTCTCACAATCTTAAATTTCAAATAGGCCCTGAATCTCCAAGCAATGCTGACATCCTTTTTTTAAAGTATATGAGCGCACACACACACACACACACACAAATGTGTGTGTATATACAAATGTATAGATAAATATCCATATATATATGCTAAGAATGTGCTGCTCACAAAAGTTGTATATGATAGGTCTTATAATTCTCTTGTAAAAAATAAGGACATAGAGGTTCACAAAGCTTAAAGCACTCATCAAAAGTCCCATCACTAGGAGTCAAAGGTGAATGACACAGTGAAATAATAACTACAAAATTCTTAATTTATTATCATATAATTTCTCATGTTAGTGTTGCCATAATTATCACTGAGTTTTACATGTATATAAGACACCAGTACTTCCATGGACATTGCAGTCCTCCTCACCATCTCGGGCAGTGACCCCACCTTTCAGGAAGTGGGAGAGGGGAGGTTGCCCTTCACAACAGGATCCATGGTGTGGCCCCCATGGTGTGAAAGGAGGTTAGTCCCCAGCGGTGACTCTTTCATCACCAGGAGAAATCTGACCTCTCTTTCAGATGTGTGTAAAGTTATAAAAGCCTTAAAAATTTTTTTTAACTTCTTCTTACCGAGTATTGGACTTTGAATTCCTCTCTACCTAACTCCCCAGGGCCCTCAGGAGGCTTCTGGGCCATTATGAAAAGTGTTTGTAGAGCCGTGTCTGTGCCATGGTGGACAGGCAGCACAGACACAGGCTGGACAATAACAGCTGAGCTGCAGACGCTCTGCAGCCCTGCTTCTGTGGCGTTTTGACAGTGCCTTTTCAACACATGAACATTATTTCTCAGAGCCCTAATCCCATGGTCCTTATTAAATTTTCCATGTCCCACAGACCCCACCAGAGCTTTCTGTCCCACCTGAAGAATACTCTGCGCTCCCAGGATAAACAACATTTGATAAGAAGCTGACTTAGAACTACATAGAGTTTCACATTCAAACAAATGGTCAGCTGAATTTGCATGCAATAGCAAGTTGAATCTCCGAACTTCCTTCATATCTGGTATCTTGTAGAATTTCAGCTACAAGTGTGTGACTGCAGTAAACAGAGCCAGCTTGGGGAAAAGGTGAAAGACGCCAAGGAAACCTCCACTCAAACAATATTGTGAAAAATATTCTGATTAGTTAAGATAAGATGTACTCTCATTTTCCTGAGAGTTTTATCTTTATTAGATAGGCTGCACAATCCGTAACAAAGTCTTAGCTGAGCGTTTTGGAGCTGGTTGTTATTTTCAAATAGCATGTGCTATGGTGTTTCCTTGGGGGAATGCATTCCAATTTCTTAATGGGGTGTAATCAGTAACATGTTTGCTTCAGGCCTTATAATGATGATGCTGTTAACTACATTCAACAAAAATCCTTTAAAACAGCTGTTTTCAACCAACTTTCGCTGTGAATGTACTTTTGTGTGTTTAATGTACTTGGCAAGCATTTGAAAAAGCCCTTGCCTACTGTTTTATTTGTTTCCATTTATGAAAACATGCATTCGCTGTGAAAATCAGATGCATTTGTAAAGTTATCAAGGAACCCATAAGAAAATCTACCCTCTCCTTGCCATCATCAGCAATTTCTGAATCATCCACAGTGAAATTCACTTCGAAGAAACTTCTGTGGATTTGTTTAACCATAAAATGATCAGTAGCTCTTCTTGAGGCAAGAACAGAATGAACGTATTTCTTGAACTAAGTTCTCTCAGGTTAAATGAGAGAGGGACCCAGTAGGGCTGCCTGGATGAGGTTCAGAAGCAAAGATTTCCTTCTAGGCAGCTTCCCCCTCTGCTACCTGGGTGATTCATACCCAAGTTGTTGACCAAGCCCTGTTGTCTCTATCACTTATTAGTCTTCCACTCTGAAATGCAAAACTTATCCTCGATGCAGAGCCTGAGTAAGAATAGAATACCTTCCCTTCTTGTAACATTATCCAGCCAGGAAACAGGCAGCATGTACTAATGGTTGGTTTAAGTCTGGTCTTTGTTTTCTGTCTTCCACGGTTGACAACGCTCCCTGCAAGGAATCAGGCCAAAATAAAACTGCCAACCACCATAGTGCATAAAATTGTAAAAGCAGGACAAAAAATTCCTTGCCATTTTTATGTCCACCACTCCCTAGATTAGAAAGGATTGTTGCTATATGATCAACGTATTAGGTTGTGTTGTTATAGGTATTTGTAGGAGTCAGGGTGTACAATTAAAAAACAAACAAGCAAACAGCAACAGACCCACATTACAGACATTTGCCTGCTACCTGGTGAGTCCTCAAAAGGGAGGTAGCCCGGCAATTCCAACGCCCCGAGAAGAACCCAGAAGCTGTTCTTTTCCAATTTGCCTCCCTTATTCTGATCTCATTTCCTCAGTGCTGAACTTATACCTTTATCTGAAATCACTGGGAAGGCAGCTACTTAAACAATAAGAGAAACTAGTGCATTGTTTAATTTGCCTCTTCCATGAGTCCTAAATAATAAATCTCACAACATTCCTTGTACTCGGTGTGATACTGAATGCCAAACCCCAGCTCGGCAGCTGGAGTCCTATTTCCTGGGCCCTCCGAAGATAGAAAATATCACATTTCTATTTCATTCGACCCTTTCTCTCTCTCTGTCATGCTTCGCTGCCTTTACAAGTCACCATTTCACTGTTGCCACAAAGATTACAAGGACCCTAACAGGTAAGGCCTCCAGGAAACACGGATGGAGAGGGCCTGAAAGAAAGGCAGAGGACTGCCAGGCTTATCTGCTCCCTATCTCACCATTGCTTACCACAGGGCCTGTCCACTGACAGCCAAGCTGTCCTGAGGCAACAGCTCAGTAATAAGATACACAACAAATAATGTTTTTTTTGTTTTGCTGGAAAAATATATACTCAGGTAATTAAATTGTTAACATGATGGATGACCTTATTTTATATTTGAATTCAAAGTGACTTTCTGTATCATTCAACTAAAATGGCTTGATGTTATTAAAAAAATAAAAAACAAAGCATAATTCCAGAGAAATGGGAATATAGATTTTTGTTGATTTACTTTAGAAACAAACATGGGTAGTTGTTACTGTGCTGGATTGTAATGTTTACTTGAAATGCATGAAGCTGGTGTTCAAATCCTATATTCATTTTTTTCATTCCTAATTATTTGTACAATTAGGAATTGTATTTTATGGATACAATTGTTGTATCCTTAAAAGTGAGGCCGTAAAAAAATTGTCAATAAATATGCTTTGGTTTATGCAGGAAGAGCAAGAACATATTAGAGATACCTACTGTTCAGAAGGTTCCAGAAGCAGGGCCCTTGTATAGGAGTTTAAAATGTTAATGGACATGCATTCCGCCCACGTTGAATCCCATACGACAATATGTTTTGTGCCCAGGGCATGATTCTGACTAAATCAATAAACCACTCTAAGTCTGATAAAAGTTTTACAAAATATCCAAGACATTTAGAGTAATTGTTAACATCTGCTCATTATTCAACAGTGTAAGCAGGTTTAGAAGCCAGATAAATATATTTATTCATCAGCAGCCAGCATGTCACTGCTACCTCAGTGGTGATATAAAACAGTAAGACATTAGAACTTGCCTTAGTCTTGGGTTCAGAGAATACAAATGAACCATTATGGAAAAAACAGAAAATTCTGCTTTCTCCATGTTTTACACTTGGGGGGTAGGGGGAGAAAGAGGAAAGAGGCAAGTTTTAGTAAAAAAAAAAAAAATCTTGATAATTTACTTTGAACTAAAAACCTGGGGAATAGGCAAGAAAAATAAATATAAGAAGTACAAATCTTAGAGAAGGAATCTGATACAAATCATTGCTACAACATAAAGAGTATCTTTCTTCTTTATTCTCCAAAACACAACTTAATTTTGATTTCTTCTTTCATTTCACAATATAAGAAAGTTATTTCTACACTGGAAGGTTAAAAATGGGCTTTTTGAATATAACATTGAAAAGGTTCTATCAGAATGAAATTAGTTCTTTGAGAATATTTAGCAATT
The DNA here is from genome assembly GCF_000001405.40 of Homo sapiens. Taxonomy (NCBI): domain Eukaryota; kingdom Metazoa; phylum Chordata; class Mammalia; order Primates; family Hominidae; genus Homo; species Homo sapiens. The sequence goes on from NC_000003.12 coordinate 169,288,526, forward strand.
GGCAGTTGATTTGTCCTGAACCAAAACGAGCAGCAGAGCCATCATTTAATAGTAACAAGAAAATACTAATCAAATCACATTCACGCTTATTGGGGTGGGGAGGCATCTGAAGTGGTATTCTATGGGGTTTTGTTGTTGTCTCATGTAATCTGCTGCGTGTGCGTCTGTGTGTGTGTGTTCCAAGTGCCCTTCCAGTAGTCTCAATGACCTCCAGTGATGCTAATAGATCTCAAGTTAGGTGTTCCGTCAGTATTTGAAGCAGAGTTGATAATTAACTTTCAACTACCTGTGTTATCCTCAATCACGATTGTGTAAAATAGATTGCATAAAGTTGCCTCAAGGTTAACTCTTTGGTGAAGGAATAAATCTGACAATATGCCATCAACTTCAACACAGTCCACTAACACCAGACCTTAGAAACTTTATGAACTTTTTTTATGAAAGACAAAAGGATTCCAGAGAAGAGAGCAATAAAAATAAGTCGCTGGTGGACGTCGTTGCATTTATCTGAAGTACAGTTCTATAAACTCACTAGCATGTGCTTGCACAGTGAATATCAGATGGTAGACATTTAATAAAAGTTAGTTGAATTGAATACCTAGAACAATACTATATATCTATATGTGGTACCCAAAACATTCTAAGAAATTAGTTGAAAACAACAGGTTTTTTGTTTCTATGAGGACCAGAAGATTAGCAAGGTAGAGATGAGAAAATTAACACAGAGATGCTATCTAGCTAATTAAAGCTGTAAATGAAACAAGAACCTCCTCGTGGATTGTTCTGCTCACTAACCTGTAATTATATTGTCAATTGCATTAACTTCATTGCCCACTAATAGAGTAAGTTTCAAGGGAGGCAGCCAATGTTGGGATGGTTACTTATTTTTATGTCCTAATTAATCAGTACTGACACCAAACCACATCCTTCCTTCTTGTTCATTATTTAAATGACCCATTTATATGGATGAACCTCTTTGCTTTGTGCATTTCATTAGCACATTAACATGCTTTCAAAACAAAAAGGGTTGTTTCTGCTTCAGCAAATACTTTGAACAAACAGCTACTTGAGCTACCCCTGACAGGCTGTGCAACCCTCATCTCTTACTCGGCATTTGTATTAGGCCAATGGAGAGTTTGACTAAAATCAAATGATTACCACTTGGCTAAAAAAAATTAACTCCTGATGAGTTTTGTAGTGCTCGGGCAGGGGAATAAAGAGGAGGAATTAGAAAATAGAAGCAGGAATTTTAACTTCCCATCTGAGGTTGGAAAACAACTTGTATTTAGCTAGTTATTTCTTTGTGTCTCATATATGGAAACCTGAAAATAAGCTTTGCCACTAAGTGAAGTTAAACCCTGTTGAAGTCATCAGATTGAAGCATAATTTAAAAGTAGCTTGGTGAGCCCACCTCTGGGACATGACTCTCTTCTTGAGAAGGTACCAGGAGGAGTGTTAACTATTTTGGATTGCTGTAGCATTGCCCTTTAATGAAAGGTTCTATGCTTAGACTACACCTTGAGAAGCCGACAACAGTAACCTTAAGTATATCAGCCCCGATACTACCCTAAACAATAGTGTTGGAGAGAATAGATGCTTTAATATGTCCAAATAAAACAAATCATTTCCCAAAAAAAAATCCCTTAGAAAAGACAAAGCATGCTGTATCCAAATGTTAATAAAGTCTCTGTACATTATGGGGCACACTTGAGATATTTTTGGGAAAAACACAGTAACTGGGGGAAAAAAACTACAATCAAGGTTAATTTGTATGTTTAAAGACGTCTTATAATGAAATCATTTTTTAAAAAGTCAACATTATTTAACCCAGATTTATTAGTTATTCCTTTGAGTATGATCTCATAATTGCAAATATTTCATGAATTGCTCTATAATTTTAAAATAACCTTTAAACGTATATAGAAAAAAAGTGACTTTGTAGAGACCATGAATGTGCACCCACAGGATGCATGAAAAAAAATAATAGCTCCAGACCTACATGATTATGTACTTGGACCTGAGATGAGCCTCCCAGTGACAGCCACATACACAGATTTTAAAAATGGCATGTTTCAGATGCTGTGGATGCAAGTAAAGAGCTGTGCTCTTAAAAACTGTTGGGTGACTTAACCAATAAACTCTGATGATGCTGATGGTGTACATTTTAATTTTGAATAGAATTGTACCATAAAAGTGAATAAAGCTGTATTTCTAGATCATAAATACTGAAAATGCTTTGATAATGGCAAAAAATCATTTCTCGAGTTGGGTTGGGTAAAATTAGTTTTCGGTCTATGTTACATGGAGTTCTCTTAAATGGGATCATGGACTGTACTTGGATATGGTGGTGGTTTTCATGTTTCATTCTCATGAAAAAAATTGCAATTTTTAGAATGTAGCAGAACAAACAAAATCATGACTTACACTCCATACTTTCATTTACTTTTGGTGGTTTTCTCACATTTTCAACAGTTACCAGCCACCTGCCTACTACCACTACCACCTTTGTGGCCTGGGAATCTATCTCTGCTGAACTCCACTTATTAAAAGGAAATCCTTCTATATACTTTACCTAAATCTTGCATCCTTCAGTCGAAGCTCATTTCATATTATTCAAACTTTGGTGAACAGTAGTCCAACATCATCCTCCTTATTGGAAAAATCCATTATTTGAAAATAGTCAATAAATCACCCTTTATCCTTCATTTCCCCCACTTGAATAAGCCCAGCTCCCTAGGGCTTTCTCCAAAGTATGCAGCCTCCAACTCACTATCAAGGAAGAACTGAGTTCCTGGGAAAATTAGTCATATATTATAACTAATTGTAACATGACATATTATAGAAGAGTATAATAATTATTAATTTTAAACAGTAAATATAATTGCCCTAAAACTTGGCTTATACTTTCCTCTAAATTCCTCAGGAAATTCTCAAATTTCTCCTTTACCTCAGCCTACTTCAGAAATGCTCAATCCTCTCTGTCAGTGTGGGAGATCAGTTTATATTTAGGAGAAGTGGGCAAATGTCTGGTATGGAACACATCAAAACTAGGAAAATCTGTTCCCTCATAAACTAAGTTAAAATTTCTAAAACTAAAAGACAAGTTAATTAACCCATTGGATATAGTCATTGTTATAGCATCTATTATTGAAAGTGGGCTCTATTTCAAGCCTCAGATGTATAGAACATTCTGAAATGTTTTTCTAGGCAGTGCATACATGCTGATCCAATAAAACTTTCTTTTGCTTTGTTTAGTATGGAGATAGCTACTCTGCATGTTTCACATCAGTATTTGATTCTGTGTCTAAATTTGAGTATCATCTTGAATACTAGGTATTCTCCTCTGTAGAATCTGATCATGTGAATAATACCACAGGGAGCTGCATACTTCAAGCAAAAACTCAAGAGCTGATATTTGTTTCAACAGATTCACATTTTAAAATTTATTGTCTACCATTTGTGTATGAGGCATGAAACATGACCCTTATACTGGACCACAAATGATTATGCAACTAGTTTGGCGTTTTGTATTTTAAAGAGATTGGGGCTCATGCTGGTAATCCCAGCATTTTTTTGGGAGGCCGAGGCAGGTGGATCACTTGAGGTCAGGAGTTTGAGAGCAGCCTGGCCAACATGGTGAAACCCTGTCTCTACTAAAAATTCGAAAATTAGCTGGGCATGGTGGAGTGCATCTGTAATCCCAGCTACTCGGGCCAGAGAATCATTTGAACCCAGGAGGCAGGGTAGCAGTGAGCTGAGATCGCACAACCACACCCCAGCCTGGGTGACAGAGTGAGATGCCATCTCAAAATAAAATAAAATAAAGATAATCATAAACATAAATGAAAAGATTGAACTGATAGATGATGAAGCAAGATCTATTCACTGTGCAAGGATGAAAGGCCCCTACAGAATCCCTTCCTGAAACTCAGGATTGATTGTTTCAACCCTGTGATATTCTGCTTTCTGAACAAGATGCCAGAATTCTACTGTGAGCTCTGTGCAGGCTAATTTAGGAGATGCAAGATATCTGTTATCTCCCAGTGATCTCTCTGAGCCACAAGGTCAGATTCAACTGAATATTAAGGAGGGCCCTGAAAAGGCTCACAGGGCCACTTTGAGAACCATAAGGGTGAAGTGCATGACAGCTGGTTATGGGAAGGGGAGGGTGAATTCTGGTGGTACCATCTCTACCCAGTGACCATTCTTGTCATCAGGGTTTCCTAAATCAGCCTAATAGGAGACTGAAGATCTGAATTCGGGTATTGCAGAATGTTTGCAGCCTCCCAGGGAATGGAAAAAGATCTGGATCAAATTATATTCAATTTAGAGGCATGTGGGGCATTCTAATGATTTCCATTGCCCCTGTGGTCATCTTGGGTGGTGGAGCTCATTAAGGCTCAATCACAAAAATTAGGGCTCAGAGGATGTCAGACCTAAAAAAGGACCCAATGTGGACCACCTAAGCTCAGTGAGATGAAGTGACTTATCCAAGACCTCAGCTCCAGGCCATCTTATAACTAATAATAGGTACCTCCATGACTAGCAAAGGGGTGGCTGACATTTGTCTTTTAAATACCTATCGCAGGAGGAGTCAGCTAGAACAAATCAACAGAGCATGCCGAGAGTCTGAGAGAAAGTTATCTGGCATGAGCAGTGCTAGTTCCAGCCACCATCATGACTCTTGGAATTCCAGAGTAGGTTCCTAACTCACCTTCATGGTTTCACGCTCACCCCACCGTCTATTCACCACACAGCCGTCAGGGTCTTCTCCTGGCTTCCCATCACATTCAGTCCAAACTCCTCACCATGGCCTTTGAGGCCCTTCCTCTCTGACCTCACTGCTCCTCTCTCATTCATTCGCACTAGCCTCGTGTGTTTGGCTTTCTGGTTCTTTGAAACATCAAGTTGGTTTCTTCTTCGGCCGCCTTGGCCTTGCTATTCTCTTAGGCTGAAATGCTTTTTCTGAAGCTAGCCCCATGGCTCACTGTTATTCCTTTCAGGTTTCTGTTCCAGTGTCCCTGCTCAGAGGGGCTACACCTGACCCCTGCTCTAAGTACCAAACCTTCTGTGTGCTACAATTCCCCCTTTACTCTTTATCCCCTTCCTCATCTTCACTTTTCTTGATAGCAGTTATTATTACCAAACATTATATAGTTATTTGTTTCTGTATTTATTCATTTTCTTTGCCCCTACTAAAAAGTCCATGAGGGTATGGAGTTTGTCTAGATTTCAGAATAGTGCCTGGAACATAGTAGGTATTCAGCTTATATTTATTGAATCAATGATTTGATACTTTATGGGATTACCAGCCAGTGTGATCTACAGTGTCTAGCCCCAGTAACAGGTGAGAGTCACTGAAATAACCTGATCACAGTCCTCAGGTGGAGACCTCAGCCTGAGAGGCTCAGGGCTATTTCCAATCATTCTTGCATTTTCTATCATTTTGCCTAATTCTAACATTTCCTCTTTCTAACCTTGCTCTATCATGTCAACTAGAAACTCATTACTGCATGTAGGTTATACACACACACTTCTTAGAACAACTATATGATTTAAGACACCCTAGTGATTTTATTGGTTTATCATTAACTATTTATGGGTTTTTTTTGGTTAGTTGATTAGTGAGTTTTTTTTTAAGTTGTTGTATTTCCATTTAACCTTCCAGGATCTTGGTTTTCTGTAATGTAGAATAGTTATATCACTATACTTGCCTTATCTACATGTCTGTTCAAAGCTTGCATTAGGTTCCGTATTTTAAGATATTTTGAGAGAAAATAATCATTTTAGAAAATAGTTTCTGGGAGAGTTTGCAATTTCTACAGGCAGGTGTTTTCAGGGGAAAGTTAGCCAAACACAGAGAAAAACATTGCTTTTAACTAATGTATTGATCATTTGGGAGGGCACTGGCGTAAGGTCACAAACAAAGTAAAAATGTTAGCCAAGACAAGACTCAAGAGGGGCAGAAGCAGTAGCCTGGTCTCTGCTCAAATGTCCCCATTGTATGGAGCTGGGTAAACAGGCAGCTATGCAGTCTGTTCTGTCCTCTCTCATCACATGGGAGAGAAGCCACTAGAAAAACAAACAAACAACCAAATACAGCTCAAGGCTTATCAGCCTTTAAGTTGATGACCTTATACTCTGGGATCCCAGCCCCAGCTCTAAGGAGCTTATTGGACAATGATGAATCTAAAAATCTGAAGAAGTTCAGTCAATCATTGACTCTCAGGACAATCATACCCTCCTGCCTCAGTCCTTCTTCCAAAATCTCCAGTACGTCCTGACTGTGCCCAAACAGAGCTTGGTCTGCTTGGACAGAGTTCTCAGCAGTTTGGGCTTATATTCATGCTCTTGCCCATGCCTGCTTCACTCACCACATCACATTTGATCCGGATCCACAAGCACCCTCTTTTTCCTCCATTTGCTCTGATAAATGCTTTCTCGGTCTTTCTTCCTGCTCTAGAAGATTATCTTTTCTATTGCTTAGTTTTCTTTATTTAAAAAAAAATGTTTTCTATCTTAATGTTACGTAAAATATGTGCATTATAATTGAGATGGGGATTTTCAAACTGTCTTCCTGAGGTTCCTCAGAGATCATCAGAGGAAAGATATGAGCACAGACCTTTGGCTTTGAACCTCCTGTCCCACTTTCACCATAGGATCTAGGTTGACTTTTATCTATTTTATATATTGGGTTTCTGAGTAAGATATTGTTTAAAGAAAGATTTCCTATTGCTTTTATTTAAAAGGGTTAAAAAAAGTTAAATTACAATAACACGTGACTCGAAGGATTTGCCACCACCTGGTGGCAGCATACCCAAATTTCAATGTACCTAAATTTTTAAAAGGGTTGAGTTGAATCTGCTATTCTAAAATTATAAAGTGGTATCAGAAATGTCTCAGATGATGATGTATAATTATGAAAAAACATTAAAAAGTACAATATCACTTTCAAAATACAATATAGTATTTCAAAGTTGAGATTTTTATAAATGAATTAAATTACTTTATTGTAGGGCATAGTACTTGTAGAAAACATTTCCATTATGCCTTTAAAACAACATTGCAAGAAGGTAAAATAAACTAGTAGCATTCTCTCAAATTCTTTTTATGTTTGAACATCAATGTTACCTACCTATCCTCAAATATCTGGGGAAAACTTCATTTCTTCTTCTTCTCCTTAAAGTCAACATAAATACTCAGTTTCTGGGTAAATTGTACCAGGGACATTGCCCGTGCTGCTCTCTACCTCCACCAAAACAAAACAAAGCAAAGACACCTTTTCACAGAACTTTAGAAATGACTGCACAAAGAGAATAAAAAACAAGTATTACAATCACAAGTATATTCATGGACAAGTGGAGGAAGAAAGTGAGGTTTTGTTTGATGGTTTGTTTGCTTGTTTGTTTTCCTTTTTCAGGCCTTTCAGCTCTCATACAACAGTAACATATTGGTTGAACCAACTGACCTTGCTCTGGCCTGATTCAACCATAGTCTGTTCAGATAGAACACCTTTAGCACTCAAGAATAGGTTCCAGTAACTTAAACACCTGATGAGTGAAAAGGGAAATGAAACCTGAGCCTCACCATTCTCAAGTCACTTTTTTGACCAGACCCACATAGATGCCTCCCCAGCAGTCTGTAGTGGCCCTTGCTTTCCCCCTCCAGCTATGGGACTCCTAAGTCATTGCCCTCTTACTCACAACAATGATCTTAGGTTAAGTTTTCAGGCAGGACATGAGAAAATCAGCAGGACAGACAAGTGGCATCCTATAACACTCCCAGATCTGTGAGAACAGAGTGAGTGGGAGTGAGAAGAGCAAGAACGCCAAAGAAATATTCTTGGCGGCAGGCTGGTGGACGCAGAAGGAAGGTTTAGTTATGGTCCCTCAACAGCTGCAATAAACTTGCTCTGTAAGAAGCCATGATTATGTTGTATTGTGGATTTGCCAGCAAGATTACATCCACACAAGTTCTTTGTAGACCATCAGTAAACTCAGGGCATTCTGAGCAAATAGGAATTAGCTACATGGGCAGAGTTTTCAACTGAAATCCACGCCTAGTTCCCCTAAAGATTGTTTACCAGCTTTTCCCAGAGCCAGTTACAAGGAGCATAACATGACTTGATTCACAAAGAAGTAATGGAATTATAGTAATAAAGGAGTGAGGAAAATAAATAACAGGAATAGACTTGGCACTTTTGAAACTTAAAGGTGTTTTGCCTGAGATGAACCTGAGAACTGACCTACAATGCTTCTCATACTCGTAAACATGGTGCAAAGTTTGTTTTAATCATACAGAATATGTCACCATTAATTCTTTAAGCATGCAAAGAGCATATCATAGCAAATATTAGACACCCCAGAGGTGTAAACTATAGCTTAGAAAAACAAAACTCATTGGTGGCTATTACTTTGCAATTGTTAGATGTCACCATTGTCATTTCATGTTATAGATCTGTGTCACAACAACATCTGTACAAAACCAAACACCACCAGCTGTGCTCTTTCAACAATTTGGAGCAATAATTAAATTGTCTTTAGTAATACACCTGCACTGCAGATAGACAAAGCCAGTCCCATAAAATTTTACATGCTTATTTAAATTCTTCAGAAAGTTTCAATGAAGGATCCAAACAAACCAAAAATGCTAAAGTATGTCAAAATTGCCATGTGAGAAAACAAGTACACTGATACAAATTAATTAGCCTTCCTCCTTTGGTTATAATCTAACAGGCTACATCATACTTGCTGCCTTAGCTCCTGGGCTATTATTGCCTATCTGAGATCACTTTTGATACTCCTGAGGTAAAGGAACACCAAACAGTAGTCATTTATCTGACAAAAGACCTTGTGTTTTTCTTATTCTATCAATCATTAAACAAGTAATGTCTTTTTATGTTATTGCTTTGACATTCATTAACACTCACGTCAGAGGAAATCTTTGCAATTAAAAATTCTATTGACCATGTAAGGTTGTTTTGCCTGGGTTTGTTACAACTGATTTTTTTTTTTTAACAGAAGCAACAGCACTGAGGCAGGTCAGGAACCTACCACACAGTTCAGCTTGAGGTATCTCTTCTGACTCAAATGCTGCTGGTAATTATTAAAAAAATATTATTTTAAAAAAAATCATTTTTTCTATCTCAATGTAAACGTCAATGATAATCTTGACTGATCAGCTTAGCTTAAGAGGAAAGAATACCTCAGAAAGACAAAAGTCAGAGAGCCACAAGACTCTTGTGTTGTTATTAAATTCTTCCTCATGGCAAATGTGCAAACTTTCAGGAGAGTTTCAAGTAATAATCTGAAAAGTGTGCTAAAATCTCAAATGTTTGAAATAAGTTTTACATAAGGTCCTTGTGATTTGATACCATAAACAGAAACAGAGTAGGAGAAGTGCCTAACATGACAAAAGGAGAATTTTGAATATACCATAGAGTAACTTGTTCACTTCCAAACCACTCCTTTTGTGGGAACATCACCATAAAAACTGATTATACATCATCCACGGCAATATTATCATCCAGCATCGGGAGAAATAAACCTGAACAAACACATTTCTTTTTAATAAAGAGCAATTTAGAGGGTGGGAGAAGAACCAATTTCCTTCTTGGAAAAATCTCTGTGTTATAAAAATGTCTTTTATTTACGGAGTGGATTAGCTTTATGGTATCTGTATTTATATGCCTTCTACTTTACAAAGAATAAAACAGAATGGAAATCGATATAAAAATACTTCTTAATATACACCATATTAAATGTTATCAATATGAAGACACATATGGTTCTCTCTTTACATACAAAGATACATATGTATTAAATGTTATATATTAAATGAGATATGTATATTAAATGTTATCAATATGAAGATGCAGAGAGAAATGTGTCTTTATATTGATAACATTTCATATATAATATAATATAAACCATATTTTGACATCTATTAATATTTCCATCTATTTATATATACATATCTCCTTATACTATAATTCTAGTATTTAATTAAATTATATTAGTATTTAATTCAAATCAAAGATTGAATTTGGCCCTAGGGTACTGTAATGATTTGAAGATACTTAGAATAGAATGTGTCACATGGATTCCATCTCCATTCTAAGAATCAAATTCAATCACAAGAAGACTTGGGACATGAAATAATCTGAATTTATTTATTCATTCAACAAACTCTTAGTAAAGACACCAGTTTAGAGACATTGCAGCTGCACTGAGGAGGAAACACTACACTCCCCTGTACGCACGGGGAAGTGATTTTACCTGCAGGATGACCGAATGTGTGGTTTCAGGAAGTGAACTATAATGGGGTTTTAATGTCCTTTGGGTCCTGCCTCAGCATTGTTCATTTTCAGTAAATGAAAGCAATACAAGCTTTGCAAAGGGATTTCGAACTATAATAGGGGAAACTTAGAAACGAATCCAGATACCACCATGGATATAAGATTCTGGGAACTACTTATCTTGGAGAGATCTTTAATCTGAAATCACTGCAAGTTTCATGAATATTTAAGGAGCAAAGACTCAGAGAAGACAGTTAAAGGGAAAATTGCTGTTGGCTGATTTTTAACAAATAGATCCTTCCTAGAACTCCTAGTTCTCACTAGGAATTGCCTCAGAGACAATTTCCACCTATAGTCATTACTCAAGGATTAGAGCCCAAGACACCACACTCAGGAGGCCCGTTTATTGCAGACAGATGGTTCAAAAAGCAGCTCTCCCAGCATGAAGACTGTAAACCCGCCGCCCAAACCGAGGCCAAGAGGAGGGGCTGGGTTCCCCACCCAGTGCACACCCACGCCAGAGCTCCTCAAGATTTTCCTTCCCGCCCAGGCTGTGGTTGCTCTTCCTTCCTCACCTGATTCTACCAGGATCAAAATGTTCTTGGAATAAAATTAAGTAAAGATTAGGCCTGGAGTATAAGATTAGGTCACCCGATTTGGGTTTGAGTCGCCATTGTATCATTTACTAACAGCTTTTCCTTCAGCAAATCACTCAAGACCTTTCAAAGTAAAGTTCACCCCAGTCAGACCAGACAGACCCCATCTCAAAGTCCCCTGAACCCGGAATCTGATCTACAGAGCTCTTTTCTACTGAACTTCATGAATCACAGCCCCATTCCATATGCATAATTCCATATATATCAGCACACTGCTCAGCCACTATGGAATTTTAATGACCACATTTTCATTCAAACTGTGTATTCACTAGAATAGCTAAACATTTTTTCTGGTTAATGTACCTCAAGTTCTGATGCTATTTGGTCTCCTGCTCTTTGCCCCACAAAGAAATCAAATATAAAAATAAACAAATTGCATAATTTTTTTTACAAATAGGCTGGAGAGAGCCTTCACTATGAATGTGGATAAGTATTGATGTCACAAAGCTCTTGATTCTTGATTCCTTCCATATCATTTCACTTTCCTTTCCCCTCCACTCCCTCACATGTCTGAGACAGCCACGAGTCCCTCATAGAAACCTTGCAAAACTTAAGGGACTCATTGTTTGTGCTGTGCTTCAGAGGTGAGCCTAACTGAGTGCACTCTGATAATGTTTTTCAACAATTTCATGGATTGTTTCAGATTTATGTCAGCCTAAGATTATTATCTCTTGGCCCTCAGCCTATTGCCATGAAGTCATAACCTTTGTTTAAGAGCAGCCTAGCCCACTGTCATAATTACAGATTTGACTCTGTTAATAAAGAGAATGCAAGCCACTAAAGATTGAATTTCTGCTCTCACAGTAAGAAAATGAATGATATTTTATAGTAAATAATCATAATTTACATACTAAGAAGAAACCTTAGAATCTTAGATGATAGCCTCTCTTATAAATCATTCAAATAGAAAACATTTATAAAATGATCTTGCGGCGTTTATCAAATACCTATGGTTATACTATCTCACAACATTTTAGTTAACCCAGTTGACTCAAAACAGTTATAATTGTTCAAATGTTCTATACCCTCTTAAAGTTTTAGACTCATAGTCTTAATTTCACACCTGCTGATGTAAAAACAATGAACAAGTCTAATCATGGTAGCACATGACAGCCCTTCAGATATTTGAAGCTAGTCCTCATGTACCTTCTAAGTGTTCTCTTCTAAAATATCCTTAGGTCCTTCCATTTATTGACATGATCTCACTTCTTGCTATCTTTGTGCCCTTTCTTTGGAAGCTTTCTAGTTCATGAATCTCTCTCTCAAAACATAGTGTCCCCAAACAAAGACGATAACCCAAACGGGTTCCAACCAGAGGAGAGTACAACAGAGCTAACCATTACCCCATTAAATCAGGTCACTGTACTTCTATACTGGAGCCTGGGGTTCTATTAGCTTTTATAGCCACTCCAACACCTTGTTGGGTTATATTATGATTTGTCAAGGCTTCGCTCAATAAGTGGCCCTAAACTAAGACATGAACTTTTAGTTCTGTTTCTCGTGCTGTCACTAGTTACTGAATTAACTTGAAGCAATCTTTCTTAGCTCTGTTTCTATATTGTGGGTTCAGTATTTAAACCTTAGCCACAGCTCTCTTTTAACATGTTAGTTGGCTAATGTGGAATTAATTAAATATCGGCGCGATTCTGTTAGATAATAACATATCTCATCATCATTCTACACAATGTTATGATTATTCTCTGAAAGTGAAACAGCTGCACAAGGTGAGTGTCTGACTAGATTATGTCTAACCTGAACAGACTTTATTCCTCCAATCAAAACATTTTCCTCTCCTTCTTAAAGTTGACAAAGTGATTATAGAAATACAGAGATCTGAATAGAAGGAAAATGTATGATTCATATCATGTGAAGCAAGATGCCACCCAATCCACTCTAGGGAAAGTTGGGAGAAAATATGTCTTTTATTTTTTCTATCATAATGCAGAAAATAAGCACTAGCAGTGTTGATAGCCTATGGCTTTTCACTTAGAATCAACAATAGTGGCATGTCCTATGATTTTACTTTTTCAACACCATCCCCAAACAAAGCAATGAAATGTAAGATGATGTGAATGAGACCCTGAAATTTAAGGAGGCAGAATAATGGTTTGCAGGTGTGAACATTATTCATATTTTAAACTAAATTAAAATTTTCCCCATTACTCTAGGAAAATCAAATAATGTAATTACCAAGAGGTAAGATGCTTCTGATATGTAAAAGATATGCTAATTTTGATGACAGTTTTCAGTCATGTTAATCAAGTAAAGTATATTTATAGGATTTATATTACTGAGAATAATACCAAGGTGAAACTTACAAACTAATCCTTCATTTATAGCCTATTCTGTAAAATTTATAAACCCCAAATACAGGATCCTTTTATGTCCATTTCCTTCAAGTATAAATCAATATGATGGGGGCAACACAAAGGAGGGGGGCTTAGCACTGACATCAGTGCAGCTTGTTTAAATACCCAGATGATGTTTAGAAGACTGTACTTATTCTAGGAGATGTCAAAGAGGGGTTTTTAGTGAATATATGCCTCCTAAATGTCAATGATTGCTTTAAAATGTTCCCTCTAGGTTATCAAATATGAAGAGAGTTCCACTACCTTGCCTTTTTAAACACAATTGGGGCCCGACAGGACTAGACACTCCAGCAATAGCTGAACTTGAATATATACAATCTGTATCTGTGGCTTCAAGACAAGTAGAGAAAAGGAAGACACATGTCCATGTATCAAGTCCTGTTAGAAATGTAGCACAGTCTTAGACAATAGAAGAGAATCAGTGATTCAAGGTAGAGCTTGGACACAGTGCCAATGCTCCAGGGCAGGCAGAGGGACCAGGAATGCCGTGGGGTGGCACAACACCTCCTGCTGTGAAAATGGCAGAGTTTGTTTCCCATGGCCCAGTCTGTGTGCCTCAGGGTTTTGTTGTTGCTGTTGGTTTTTCTCTAAAATAAAAAGAAATCTGGTGAATTCAAACAATTATTACATTATAATTATCGCCTGGTTAATATTGATTGAAAGAATGAATAGAATGAATATTTTTTGAACCAGGGAAAAACTATGAACAAATATAAATTTTAAAAGTGTAATATTTGCCAGGTGTGGTGGATCATGCCTGTAATCCCAGCACTTTGGGAGGCCGAGGCCGGTGGATCACTGAGGTCATGAGTTCAAGACCAGCCTGGCCAACATGAGCAAACCCCATCTCTACTAAAAATACAAAAATTAGCTGGGTGTGGTGGCAGGCACCTGTAATCCCAGCTACTCAGGAGGCTGAGGCAGGAGAATCAGTTGAACCCAGGAGACAGAGATTGCAATGAGCCGAGATTGTACCACTGCACTCCAGCCTGGGCAATAGAGGGAGACTCTGTCTCAAAAAAAAAAAGCGTAACATTTTAGAAACAAACTAGATTTTACTAAACCAGATAAAAGATTAACAACAAAGAAAAATTTGAACAGAGCCAAAACCTAAACACACTGAGGAGTCCTCTTTCAGATTATTTTCACATCTTTAATATTTATTTGAAGAGAGATGACATATACTCAACTACTCTTACATTATTTCTTTCTAAGACAATGATCACCCAAAAAGGTCACATGAAAAACACCACCAATAAATTTATGTCACCGATCAAGAGAATTCTTTGGATTTTCACTAAAAGAAACCATTTTACATATTTTCTACAAATTCCAAGCCAATTGTCTGTAACATCATCAAAAGTCTAACTTCCCCCTTCCCACAAAACAAGAAAGTTCCTTGCCATTCTTTCCTCTCCATGTAATGACACACATTGATGGCATTTTCAGAAAATTTCACTCATGGAATTCATGGCTAACCCAACTTGAAACAGATATATATATATATATCACACTACTATTCATTCATTTATTCAATATATGTTTACTAAATGCCAACTCTGTGCCTGACCTAAAGATTCATAAAACAGTGGAGGTGGAAGACATGTTAGAAGTCATTCATAACAGACGTTGCAATATCTGGGACCTTAAGCGGTAGTGTAAAGATGTGAACACTCAAGTGTAAGATAACAGGGAGTGGTGAAATCCATGTGAAACAAACCACACAGTCCACTTAAGGCATTCAAACTCAATTTCTTTCTCTTCTGAAAACTGTATCAACCAGAAGCAGCCCCAAAGTTGTGAGTATCCAATCCTGATTTTGTCTAACCCTTTATTTTTTCAAATACTCAAAAAGCCAAATCCTGTTTCCAATACCATAAATCCAGTGAATTGGAAGCTTTATGCACCTCTCTGCCATTTTCCCTCACTGTCTCAAATCACTAAATGACTTTGTTTATTGGTTTGGTTTTTAGTTTATCTTCTTTCCTTTGGCTATATTGGCCTAATGCCAAATAAACAGTTCCTTCTCAGGAAGAAAAGGATGAGCTTCTAAACAATGAGATCAGACACTGCTGGTTATCAGAGAGGGTCATGAGAACTCCTGTGAATAGCTGCAAGAAATGTGGTTGCTTTCAAAAAATATGAATTTTAAGTCCAAGTGACTACAAAGCAATGAAGCTGCTTTTGTGTTTGCTCAAGGGAAGCAATTTCATCACCCCTCATGCATGAGAGATGGGTTCTGGAGGAATTTTCCAATCTTCTCACTTCCAATGAATCAATTGAATCAAATTATCAGTATAGTTTTGGGCTCAGAAAATACTTTTAATAGTTAATCCAGCTGTGCATGTAATGACAGCCTTGATATTTTAAAATAAATGTCAAAGTGAAGCTATTTCCACGCACTTCTATACATCATCTGTTCAGCTGGTGAATTAATATAAAAAATTAATTTTAGTGTTGACTTACTTTGTATTTTGTTCCCATGAGAATAATTCAGCCAAATCAATACACCTAAAAGTTTTTTATGTATCCTCAGTTCCTGTTCTTTCAACCTTATTGACCTCTGGTTGGAGCCAATTGACAAGTAATAAAATGTATAAAAATATAAATTTAATTTAAAGGATCTAATGTGAATGGTGATGAAACACACCATTCTTGGACCCTAGGCCACATTTATAAGCTGCTGGACCATTCAGAAGTTGAAGTGCTTTCCTTATATTTTAAAAATAAGTATTACTGAGCTACACAGAAGATAAAATGGCAGTCTAGCTAAAGCAACATTAAATAGAATATTTCCTATCACCTCAATCAATAACCTGAAAATTCCGACAACTTTGAAAACATTGTTACCATAGTATTAAGAACAAAATAATTAAGAAAGCCTTTCATTAGTTTGCTGATTATAAATATAACTTTGGTGTACTTTTTTCCTGTTCCTATATCTTTTTAACTTCCTCTGTTTTGTCTCTTAAAATGCCATCTTAGAGTTAGTTTTTATAATTAGATATCTCTCTTTCCACTCAATTTCTCTCCTGAAGCTTGTGCTGAGTCCCTCCTACGTGCAAGGCACTGTGCTAGGGTTCCTGGCTCATAGCTGATACTCAAAAAACATTTGTAACGATAAGATCTTTGAAAGGGTAGCTTAAGATTTCTTTATTCTTTCACCAGTAAATTTACACTACTGTGAAAGGCAAGACATTTCTAATCAGAATAAATGAGGTTAGATACAATAGGTACTGATAGGACTCAATAAATATTAATAGAATTAGTGAAGGCTCTTTTGAAAATTAAACCCCCTGAAAACCGCATTTTTATAGGTTTATTTATTGTGGTAGTTACAGTACACTCTGAGAAGGAGCTACTTAATTCATAATATAATCATATTCAGTGAAGTTAATTAATTCCAGATTTTATTATGTTACTTGAGCTCACTGAGTGCTTTAATCTCATGATATAAGGAGGTGGAAAAGGTAGGTGTAACAAGTCATCACAGAAGCCAAGGAGAATGATAATGTGCATCTCAATTACGAGACAAGGACTAATAAATGATTGCCTAATTGTGGGGGCTGGAAAAAAAATCCCAACACAAGGAAGCCCAAAGCACTTTAGAAATCAGACCAGATATCTAAGTTCCAAAGTAGCAGAAAAAAAGAACAAACATGGAGGGCGGCAGGCAGAGAGTGCCTTGCCAGTAACCAGGGCTTCCAAGATAATGGTAAACTTATGCAAGAAATAAACCTGTCTTACAATGGACACGTTGACTGTCAGCACCAAGGCCCAGCCCACTGGAAATCAGAGTTGCTGAAATATATGATTAGTGTTCTGTTTCATGCTCACTTTCATGCCACACCTTTCAGTGGAGGTCATCTTTCAAGTCATTAAATAATCTAAGAGTGATATGTACACAGAAGAGTTTGTTCCTTATCTTTTGTATGTCACACCTGGTGCTTTCCATGGACTCTTTGTTCTAGCTTTAACAAAGTTGTGTAAAGGTTTTTTTTTTTCCCCTTCCCAATGACTTACTTCAACTCAGTTTTTTAACCCTGTAACAATGGCAGTTATTGGGAATGTCTCTCCACCTAGACACACATTAGTTGTTAACAAAGATAATATAGAAAAACATATTTTGATTTCAATATTCTCTAGTTTGGTTAAAGATTTTCCTTTTATAAGTATATCTAGGTACATTGTTACCGCTCTGTTCCTTTCAAGTAAACATATTAATTCAATATTACTTTGTAATATAATTCTGATTTAAATATCTTTTATGACACTCATGCACAGGTGTTTAAAGTAAAGCATTATCGAGGTAATAAAAAATTCATGATTATCTTCCTTTGTATAATTATAGCTGAATATTATGCAATAAGTTCAATAGATTTTTATTAATTAATATATACTAAGAAAATATTAATTCAACTGATATTCTCAACATTGCTCATCTCAAGCCTGTGTGATAGATAAGACATATTCATCCCATTCAGCAGATGAAAAATGAAAACTTCCAAGAAATTAGATGACATATAAAATAGAAAGAAGTGGCAGAATCCACAGCTGGGCTCAGTGGCTCACTCCTGTAATCCCAGCACTTTGGGAGGCCAAGGTTTACGGATCACCTGAGGTCAGGAGTTTGAGGCCAGCCTGGCCAATGTGGGGAAACCCTGTCTCTACAAAAAATACAAAAATTAGCTGGACGTGGTGGTGGGCACCTGTAATCCCAGCTACTCAAAGGCTGAGGCAGGAGAATCACTTGAACCTGAGAGACAGAGGTTGCAGTGAGCAGAGATCATGCCATTGCACTCCAGCCTGGGTGACAAGAGCAAAAATCCAGACTAGAACAAGAGCCCCCTGGATTTTCATCCTTCTTGAAACATGCACAGACTCTGAGACACCTCACTGTCCTGGTTTTTCTCCTGCTGCTATGGCTGTATATGTCTGTCATCCTAAAGGGTTTCTTCTTTCTCCTTCTCAAAGTGTGGGCAAGGCCTAGGGCTCAGTCTTCTGCCTTCTTCTCCTCCTTACCCCACAGGGGGTCCCTTCCACTATCACAGCTTTAAATATCATATGGAAGTTGATGACTCCCAAACTCTTATCTCCAACCCAGACCACTTCCTTAGGTGCAGTCTCACATATCCAACTGTCCACTTGATGCCAACATTTGGGATTTAACAGCCATGCCAAGTTTACCATTTGTAAAACAAAATTTCAGATTTATCCATTCCAAACTGGTTTCTCTCTTGATATTTCATATCATTGGGCATGGTTCCATTGATCAAACAATTACCCTAGTTTCCCTCACACTCCTTTACTCCTAACATCAATAATTCTTAGACTTTCTTTCTCCCTCCAAATAAACCTTTAATAATCCCCTTTGCAATCTATTACCATCACTCTAGTTACAGCTGCATCATCACCTCCCTAGAATTGCCCCCTTCAATAGCTTCTCCACACAAACGCCAAAATAATCATTTAAAAACAGAATCATTGTAATCCCAGTACTGAGGTGGAAGGATCACTTGAACCCAGGAATTTGAGACCAGCCTGAACAATAAGGTGAGACTCTGCCTCTACCAAAAATTAGCTGGGTGTGGTGGCATGTGCCTGTGGTCCCGGCTACTTGGGAGGCTGAGAGGATTGCTTGAGCCCAGAAGGTCAACACTGCAGCAAGCCATGATCATGCCACTGCACTCCCATCTGAGCAACAGGGCAAGGCCTCATCTCAAAAGAATAAATAAATAAAAATAAATGCAGCATCATGTTAAGATACATCCTTACTTATAAGTGTAAATGGCCTCCTGTTAAATTTTTAAAATTTAAAGCTATTAATAGGTAACACATTCAAATGTTTCTAAATAAACAAATAGTATAAAAAGATAAACAGTGAAAAGCCTCCCTACCATCCTTGTTTCCCATCTACCTAGTTCCCTCCCACTCCTATAGGGAACCACTGCTCCTAGTTTCTGATGCTCCATAGCAATTTGAATACGACCCAAACATCTTATCCTGGCCACTGAGGCTACCTGGGCCAGATCCTGCTACTTCTCCACTCTCATTTCCTTTCACTCTTCTCCCTACTCATGGTGTTCTACTCCTCTCGCTTTCTTTGGTCTCATGAATTAACCAAATTATTTCCTGATTCAAGTATTTACCCACACTATTTACTTTAGTTAGGTTACTCTTCCCCTTTCTTCTATATTCTCCTGGTCCCCTCCCTCACTGCCATTTCACAGCAAGGTAGATTCTCCTTCACTACTTATTTAGCAAACTGATTACAAGTTGTAATTATACGTAAATGTGTTGACTTGTTCCCTAATTGTCTCTTTTACTAGATGATAAACTCCAGGAGAGCAAGTGCTGGGCCTATGTATTTTACTATTGTGCTGCTGGTACACCAAGTTACTTAGAGAAGGTGCTCAATAAATATTCACTAAAGTGAATCAATTAACACTATCTATGTAAACATTGGGAATGTAATTAAGCATTTCCTGAATATTGGTATTTACAGATACAGTGAGACATATTATATAAATTGGGAGTTATAAGGAACTCCCTCTCTCCAAAAAAGTGAGAAGGTAATGTTCTTAAATAATTCTATGTGTTAAAGAATGTCATGGTTTTGTACACAAGGGCTGCTCTAGGCATAATAAATATTCTATCTACTGTTCAAAAATAAAGGGCAAATAAGAATTACATATTTTGATGTGACATCTTACAACAATATATTTATAAATTTAAAGCCACTGCATATAACTTCATGCATTGTAACAAAATTTATTTGTCAATCGTCACTTAAGAATTTTGTTCATTCTCTTGCACATGCTATTATTTTTTATCCAAATAAAGGTATTTAACTCAACAAAATTTTAGGAAAAAAACACTTTTAAGGGTGAGCAAACTGTTTATTTCTTCTTTCCTTTTTAAAAAAGGGAGTGTCTGATGCTTTGCCCTGAGTGAGCTTGTTATGATCAACTGAATTCTCTCCCCATAAAAGACACGTCTTCCTTCTCATCCTGAGTGTGACTGTACATCGATGGACACTTCCAGACATTTCCCTTTCAGATATCAAAAGGAAGTATTAATCAAACAAAAGATGGGAAATTATGACATTCCACCACTAAGGTTTAACTCAAGTGGCCAAGTTTTAGCTGATCACAGGGTACAGGTGACTATCCATCATATAACCCATCATAACACACATTAAAACGTCTGGGTTAATCAGGACAGAAGCCAAAAATAATATATTTTGCTGACGTTCAATGAAGACTACCAAAGGAATTCCCCTGAAACCGGACTCTATAAACATGCAAGATCTAAAAGAAAAAAGGATATGAAAGGAATTCTGAGTAACACTATTTTAAACAAAGCAGCAGTACATTCTTTTGACAAAAAAACCTAAATGGTTTCTATGACATATGCAAGTTTAAATTTAAAAAATGGTAAAATAATCTCAGAAGTCCATGTGAGTATGCAAATGTATATTTGCATATTTTTATCTTATAAAAATTATCAGAGAATTGAATAAACTCATTCAAGATATATGAATAATATTCACAACCAGGCATAAACTTCTGATATCATCATACACCCATTTTCTTTTTCAGTCCTTTCTTCCAAAAACTAACTTCATCTGGAAATCAATGACAATTACATATAGAGGGAAACAGAAAGCTGTGGGATGTAACCTTAAAAGGAAACATATCTTCTCTTTATTATTAGGATTTTTACAGCTTTTCATTACAAATACTCTCATTTCCTGGAAATGGCTTTATTTCCATATCTGGAATAGGCTTTATTTCCATATCTGCCTCAACTCTTATCTTAAGCTCATATAACCACCCATATCACAGTTTGGGGTAATTCTTGTTGAAGCATCACGGTGTAAGAGATAAAGCACTAACTGGAGAGTCAGGAACTTGAGTCTTGCTTCCCGTTGTGCTACCACATGACAGCACTAAGGCAAACTCATGTCGCCACCTTGAGCCTCAGTTTCCTCACCTGTAAAGCGAGAGTGTGGGCTGGATGATGTCTGCAGACCCTGTCAGGATGTGTGATGCTATGAAGTGCCTTAGAAGCAGCTATTGTGATCACCACGGGCAAAACCAAACATTCCAGCACAGCACACATCAGGACCGGGGAAGAGGCCATTTAAATGCAGGACAAGTGTGGCCTTGGACCCTTTTCCCATTTTCTGTTCATTGACAGACTGTTAATACCCAGTGTTCCTTAACTCTCTGTAACTACTAAAAGTAACCAAAGCACACAATTCCCTTGAGCCATTTTGCAATTTTTTCCAATAACATTGTGTCTTTATAAGATTAAAGACATTTTTTCCCAATTAGAAAAAATCCATAATTCTTTTTCACATTTCACATATTCGTACACATTCAACATCCAGTCCATAAACATGCGCTGAGCACCTATTATATGTGATTCATGTGTTAGGCCTGAGGTATAAAGTAAAAACACACAGTCTCTGCCTTCTTCAGATCACTTATATTCAATTGATCTTATGAAATCGCTGATACTCAGTCCTTTATGACTCACAAAGTGGCTATTCCATGTGTCTCAACCTAATAGTTTTATAGCAAATTGTGTCATCAAACAGGTTAATCTTTCAAATTATCATAGGCATTTTGGAAAGTCCCATTAATTCTGGAAAGTCATTATGATGCTGTTTAGTGATTTCCTAGAGAATTGCCTAGCAAGGTTTTGGTTGTTTGCTTTGATTTTGGCGTGTGTATCTATTGCTGTCACTCTCGTTCAGAAACCTACACTAACAATTATTTGGCTCTTCTGTATTTGTTTCAATGCCTTTTCCATAATCAGTTAATAATTGACTGATCTACAGTCTCCTCAGCATTAATTAGTTATGATGTGCACACCACACACACATGCACACATGCGATGACCTGTTCTCCTTTTAAATCTTAAGTACTTCTCTTTTTCTTCCTAACAGACATAGCTGTGTTCTTTCTCACAGCTTGTCTTCTTAAAAGGATTTTAGACTGCTTGAGAGTAGGTTCACAGCCTATGCTTCTTTACATGACCTGCAGCCTCTATCCCAGGGTCCTGCATGCAGTAGACACAACAAAATTACCAACTAAATGATAAATTAAATTACAAAGGGAGACATCTGATTAAGAAGATACAGTAATATCCAAACATGAAAGCCGTGGGAAAACAGGTATTACATTTTTGCTAACCATGGCTGTGGCAGTTATATCATGCTCTAATGCTGTTCTTCACAATGACTCTTAAAAAAGGTCACAGTATTGAGTTCTTGGGCATGTCTAGCACATCAGAGAGCTTTGAGCACCGGATAATAACTATATTCAATTATGTCAGTTGGTACAAGTAAATTTCCAGCTTTGCCTTAGGAAAGGAAAATATTTATCAGGAAAATGAATAATAAGGCTTGCACTGTGATACAATAAGAGAAAAAAAACTTGGTAAGTTTATACAAAGACCATGGATAGTTCAAAATAGCCAACTACAATAATACTTTCTTTAAATGGGACTTTCTCTCAAAATAAACAAATAGCTGAAAACACCCTAATTTTGAATAACTGTCTTAAAATTTGAATGATATACCTATCTAAGCAAAATCAAAAACACTTCCCCAAATGATTAGCTTGTAGTGCACATATCAATTGCTTTATAGTGCAAGAAATGTCAAATGGCACTAGAAACAATACCATGCTTTCCTGTACAGTGCAAGCATATTTCTTCTTTAGACACAGTTTACATAATACAGGAAATGGCTTCATCTGGTTCCTGGTCTTTTTGA